>NC_000001.11:246638667-246790182 GCF_000001405.40 Homo sapiens
GACACTATAGCATAGCCAGCATGTCGGCATCCTTGATGTAGGAAGGAACTGCCATCTACAAACCAAGTAAATGAGGCATCTGGAAGGGGTTGATCTGTTAGGTTTGGAAAAAGTATAAGAAAGGTTTGAATGGTGTCCACACAGAAGTGTGCAGGGTCTTGGGAGGTAGTGGCTTCAGGTAAGAGCATGGCCAGGTTTAAATGGGAGCTGGTTAGCACGGTGATTTGGGGAGTTTCTATGAATAGAGCATACAGTTGAAGGAGCCGTGGGGCAGACATGAGACTTAGTACACTGCAGTGAGCTAGCATGTCTTTGATGTTATGGGTTGAATAAACTGTTAGGTTGGCACGAAGGGATAGTTTTAGGCTTCCAAGGGTGAGGACAGCAGCTGCCACCAGTGCTTGGAGACAGGCAAGCCATCCGAGAACTGTGGTTGTGAGCTGTTTAGAGAGGTAGGCAACAATCTGGAGGGCGGGTCCCTTAGACTGGTTAGAACATGTAGTGCAACTCCACGCCGTTCGTCGGGATAGAGAGAAAGGTTTGGTGAGGTCTGGGAGAGTGAGAACGGGGGCTGAGATGAGAGCCTTCTGGACCAGACGGAAAGGGTGGGTAATCGGCTGTGCAGGGTTTAAAGGCTTATGGAGAGGGCCTTTAGTAGCTTAGTATAACGGTTTGGCAAGTAGAGCAAAGGAAGGAACCCAGAGCCTAAAATATCCCACTAGTCCTAGAAAAGAGAGAATTTCTTGCTTAGTTTGCGGAGGTGGGAGGAACTGGAGGAGCAGTGTGCGGTCGGTTGTGAGCCCTCGGGTTTGCAGGGTAAGAGCTAGGCCTAGGTAGGTGACTGAGGGGGTGCTTACTTGTGCTTTCTTAGGGGAGACCCGATACCCCCACTCTGCCAAGAAATTTAAAAGACAGATAGCATGGGCATGGCAGTCTTTTTGAGAGGGGCTACACAGGAGCAGATCATCAACATATTGAAGGAGGTGGACAGTTTTAGGAATAAGGTACAGAGGTTGTGAGCAAGGGCCCGGGTTTCGGCACCAGGTGCAAGGCACTAGTATTTGTTCAAATCCCAAGAGTGCACCAACCAACAGCACAAAGCGGTGTGGAGCAACACACTGTTTTAATGAGCACCTGGGTATAGACGGGCTGAGGCCTAAAATGGCGTCAGCCCCACATGAGGATGGGGCCGAGGTTTTATGGTCTCCTGTAAACAGGAAGTGTCCCTGTCTGATGTAACTGCTATGTGGTACCCGGATGGCCAATCTCTCCATCCTCAGGGATACGTGTCTTCCGGCCAGCCCTCTTCCTGCTTCTGCTATCTTGCTGATGTGCACTTGTCGCACAAGTGGCCTTGCGCCTTGGGACTGGGCCTGAGGAGGGAGGAGTTATTCATCCCCCCAAGCTTTCAGGCCCCAGGGAGAATCTTTCATTTATTACATTCCTTTCTCAGTTTTTATTGAGTTTCTCACACTGAACTCAGTAAAAGGTCAACTTTGTGTAGGTTCAAAAGATTCTTCTGATTAGATATTTAAAAATATAACTTCTGATTTTGATCTCTTTTTGGTTAGGAGATGAGCAGTTCAGATGGACAGAATTGTGTATTAGGGCTTTCGATTCAACTTGCTAATGTTTATGTGTTGTAGTAAAAACATAACATTTTTAGGAGTAGTCTGATGCTAGAAAGCAAATAGAATACAGTATCTAACCAAAATCTTGCAGAAGAAAAGCTGCATTTACCAGGTAATTTTCAGTTGCTTGAATTGTATCAAGGAGTTGTATTTTTTAAACTAATAATAATAATAAGGCACTTACTTTTTTAAAAAAAATTCCTTATTCAGAGATCCAGATTTCTGAAGACAAAGGGAGACAATAGTGTTTAAACTAGTGCAAATTTCTGGAATTTAGAACATGAATTCTCAATACAAAGGCTAAAAGACTTTCCATTTTATGGATAACTTTTTCTCCTTTTCTCTCAGAATCATGGAGAGTAAACTAAAGCTCTGTTTGTTAATAGTGAGACAGTGCCAGGTAATTGTTGTGTAGCTCATACAGCAGATAAAGAACTCACTAACAAATATTTATTGAACATGACATGAGCATGGTGTCTTTATGCTTCAAAATTTGGATAACTCCCCCCATATCATTTTTAAATTTTTTAATATTTAAAAATATTTTCAAGTTACACATAAAGTGTACAAGCTTGATGAATTTTTGCATAGACGTATATGTCTATGTCACTACCACTCTGAGCAAGGTACAAGATATGGAACATTCCAGCCCTGCAGAAGGCTCCCTCATGCACCTGCCAACTTCGTACCCACCCACAATAGTAACCACTATCTGGACTCTATAACAATATATTTGCCTGTCCTGTAATTTTATATAAATGGGATCATGCAGAATATAGATTTTTATGTCTAGATTCTTGCACCCATCAGTATGTCTTGTTCCATGTTGTTGCATGTAACAGTGGTTTGCTCTGTTTTATTGCAGTACAGATTTCTTGGATGACTATGCAGCAATTTATTCATTCTATTATTAGTAGACTTTTAGGATGTTTCTTGTTTTGTGAATATTATGAATAAAGTGGCGATGAGCATTTTTGTGTGTGCCTTTAATGGATATGTACATTCTGTTATCTTGGGTATTCCCTAACATTTAATATTTATACTTTTTGTTATCTGTTTCCATGGAGAATTCCAACAAAATTATCTTCAACCATAATCTATTTTAGACTAAAATGACATAAACTGAAATTTTTAAAATATGTGTGTGTGAAATCGTCTTTATTAGCAAAAGGTTGTCATTCTTCTTTTTTTCTTCTTCTGGAATATAGCATTTGTTGCTTCTTTGGGGGTTTCCAATAGCAGTTGGCCATCTAAGGAGATAAACACATGATATAGCTGCACTTTGAACTATGTGAGCCAGTGGTAATGTTTCAGCCGTGGAAATGTTCTGTGCTAATATTAGAATCCAGAGAAGCTGTATTTTTTTATAGCCATTTCAGTGACATTTGTTTGGAAGCATATTGCTGCTGTAATTTTTTTAAAATTCTTTTTTCTTTCTTTTTTCCTACAGTCCTCTTTTATCCAAACATAAGGTAAGAGATTGTTTCTTTTGAATATATTTCTAGGAAAAATGTTTGTGTCATATGTCTGTTGTATGGACTATTTTGGAAAATGAGGAAACCTTTCCCAAGTTATTTTCAGCTTCCTAGTTTAATACAACAGTTTCCCCAAAAGTTGGGTTTTCTTGTTTTAAACTTTTTAGATAGCAGCTGTGGAGAAGTCCCAGGAAAGGAAATGCTCCACGCAGTTACTAGTGTCTGAAGATCCAAAGGAAGGAGGAGCTACCACCAAAGAGTCAGGTATGTTTTTAACTTAAGCTATGGAGCAACGTAAAAGATACCTGCCTCTTCTGATCTTTTACAAGTGATACATCTGAATTGCTGCAAAGGATCTGGTTTTTTTTTTTTTTTTTTTTTGCACTTACATTTTTGTACATATACCTCTCCTAGAAAAAGAGCAAAATGAGACTTTTTATATTGGGTAGCTCCACATTTTAGACATCTATTAGTAGATACCATAAAATCTAAGTTCTTATAAAAACATAAAATTCTTATGTTTTCAGTAGGTGGTTATATATATCTAACAGAATAAGAAAAGGTTGTACAAAATGCTCTGAAATAGAATTGGTGTTGGTACATTCATACATTGTTTTCTGTTTAAAAACCAACAGTTATTGTATACACTTTACCAGAAATTTGTTCTGTAAATTTAGATATTTTAAACTCTATATCTTGATAATTTATAGCAATTTAATTTCTCCCCTTTTCTGTTTACTAACATATGATATACTTTAGTTTGTATGTATACATTTCTAAAGCATTTATGATGTATTTCATACCACCTTGTGCCTTACGTCAAAAGATTTTAAGAGGCTTTCTTCTAAATGTTTGGCATGTTGCTCATTATAAAAGCTTTAGAAAATAAAAATAAATAAATATGTTTTAGGGTTTTTTTCCCTTGATACCTAATTTTACTATTAATATATATTTCTAGGCTTTATGTTCCTGGGCCTGAGAGCCCTAATATTGAAGAGGAAGTATCAGGTGTTTTGGATGAGTTGCCCTGAAGTGATATGATGATGGTGATGATGGTGGTGATGGATGGTGATGATGATGATGGTGTTGATGATGTCATAATTAGCCTTTTGCCTTTTTTCCCCCCTTTTTTGTTTGAGACAGGGTCTCACGCTGTTGCCCAGGCTGGAGTGCAGTGGCACCATCACGGCTCATTGCAGCGATCTCCTGGGCTCAAGTAATCCTCCCGCCTCAGTCTCTCCAGTAGCTGAGATTATAGGCACACACCACGGCGCCCCAGTTAATTTTTAAAAATTTTTGTGGGTATGGAGGTCTCACTATGTTGCTCAGGCTGGTCTGGAAGTCCTGAGCTCAAGCGATCCTCTCACCTCAGCCCCACAAAGTCCTGGAATTACAGGCATGAGCCACCATGCCCGGCCAGCCTTTTACTCTTTACAAAGTATATTTTTATTCTTTCAAATCTTACTTTATCTCCTTTTCACTTCTGAAACAAGCTAGGGATATTGCCTGGGGTCAGTCCTACTAGACTCTGTTCTTCCGTCTTTTCCAGTCATTTTTATATTAGAAATCACAGTAAAATGAGCTTCATAACAATCTTAAAGGAGGAAAAATATCACAAAGCTGCCCAGTTTGGGTGTGAACGTGTCTCTGTGTTGAGCACCTTGGGAAAAGTGCTATTACAGGCTGTGCATTTGAGTTTGAGACTTACTTAGCATGGTTGCTGCGCAGCACCTCCTCCTGCTTGGCCTCTGCTTTGAGTCATGTGGTACAGATGGGGAAACTGAGGTACCAAGTTTCAGTCACTTGCTTGGTGCTTTGATTCGCAGCTAGAACCTGGGTCTTCCCATTTCTAATTGAACGCAGCCTGCTTCTGCTAAGTACATTGTATGGATTATCAAAGGCTTCAACAATCCAGATGTCCCAGGAATAACCCTATGAGGGAGTATGGACTAAATTCTGGGGAAAGAAATGTTGCTCCAGTTTCACCAAACAGTGTTTTAAAGAGAAATGTCAATAATGTGGGTGACTCTCCGAATGTAGTTTGGAACTCTTGCCTTTTCCAAAATTATGGTGGAGTTTTTTTCCCCATTATTTTCTGTAGTATTTCTAAATAATGGGATGAAGCAACCATTTTCAGGCTATTTTGTAAATAATACATTGTACCCACAGATAGTCTTTATTACTTATCACTTAAGTGGTATCTCAGTTCATTAGATACCATACTGTAAGTGGTTGTATTTCGTGGCATAGCTGCTGTCCATCACCCCATCTCCTACTCATAGAATGGCACCTCAGACTGTTCTGTACCTTTTCAGTCACTTATAAGCTATTAAATAGTCTCATTTTGCCGGGCGCGATGGCTCATGCCTGTAATCCCAGCACTTTGGGAGGCCGAGGCGGGCGGTTCACGAGGTCAGGAGATCGAGACCACAGTGAAACCCCGTCTCTACTAAAAATACAAAAAAATTAGCCGGGCGTGGTGGCGGGCGCCTGTAGTCCCAGCTGCTGGAGAGGCTGAGGCAGGAGAATGGCGTGAACCCGGGAGGCGGAGCTTGCAGTGAGCTGAGATGGCGCCACTGCGCTCCGCCTGGGCGACAGAGCGAGACTCTGTCTCCAAAAAAAAAAAAAAAAAAAAAAATTGTCTCATTTTGATTATTTAGAGCTTAGCCCTATTCAATCCTGAACTTGATTTTCACATTTAAATCTCACTGTACTCAAAGCTCTTCTCCGCCCTCCAGTTGCCAGGGCTGGGAACACTGTCTGCTCCTGGTTGGAGTTAGCTGGACTGGTGATTATGACTGAACCCAGGTTGTGCGGTGGCTCCAGCAGGAGCAGCTACGGAGGAGGTTACTCCCAAGCTGCTCCCCTAGATAACTGCAGCCTTTAGGTAACTGACCCTCAGGTGGAAGCAACACACCCCAGTCCTCTGATGTGGGGGTTCTCTCTGCCCTGTGCTTTCACAGTGCCTGTGGGACTGTGGTCCCCAATCTTATTTAGTCTCTGAGTCCTGTGGACATGTTTTGAGGGACATCTTCTGAACCTTTGGGTACCTGGAATTCATGGAGGAGTGGCTTGGCCCCCTTTCCTTTGGATGTGGCCCTCATTGCTCTAACCTTGCCCCATTTTAACAGAGGGAGGGGCAGACAGCAAGCCCAGTGTCAAAGCAGGCAACCAAAGGGAAGTGAAAGGTGCCTTTGTTTTCTTGCAGCCTTACAAACTTTGAGTGATTCTTTGGGGTGGGGAGAGAGAAGGAAGGCTGTATTCTCCCAAAGGTGACCCCTTCTTCCTTCTCCTGATCTGCATCTGATATTTGAGTCAGGGTGTCAGGGGAGGTGCTATGAACTCTACTGAATAGCTACCTCTCAGCAGCCCGAAGTTGAGTGGCAGCCTCAGCACCAGATGCTCTGAAATCTGCAGGCAATGTTTCAGGAATGCCTTTTGCTTGATATGGTATGGGCCTCAATTGTCAGTTGGTGATTAGTATTAAAGTATCAATATGTTTTTGGAGTCCAGGGTGAAAAAGAAAGAAAAAAAAAGTATCAGTAAATAAACAAATGGAATAAAATTATCATCATATTTTCTCTTTTATTTTCACCTTTGGCTCATTATTTATTTAAGTTAAACAACATATTAGTATAAAAAGGTTAAAACTTTTTTTTTTTTTTTTTTTTTGAGATGGAGTCTCGCTCTGTCGCCCAGGCTGGAGTGCAGTGGCGCAATCTCGGCTCACAGCAAGCTCCGCCTCCCGGGTTCACGCCATTCTCCTGCCTCAGCCTCCCGAGTAGCTGGGACTACAGGCGCCCGCCACCGCGCCCGGCTAATTTTTTGTGTTTTTAGTAGAGACGGGGTTTCACCGTGTTAGACAGGATGGTCTCGATCTCCTGACCTCGTGATCCATCCGCCTCGGCCTCCCAAAGTGCTGGGATGACAGGCTTGAGCCACCGCGCCCGGCCAAAAAGGTTAAAGCTTCTAAAATAGTTATGAATGCTAAGTGTACCAATAAAGCGAGGATAAGCAAGCTTCTCTGTTACCTACCCATCCATGCACTTCTCATTCATTATTCACACGGAGGTTTTTAACTGTTTCATTTTAAAGTGAAGGAAAAATAAGTTGGTTTTACTCAAAGTAGAAATTGAAAGAGATGTCAGAATTCAAACCCATTTCTACTTGTTGCAAAAACTTATCCTTTTTATTGCTACCCTTTGCTACCTCCCTTTAAGAAGTTGCTCGGCGTGGTGGCTCACGCCTGTAATCCCAGCACTTTGGGAGGCCGAGGCGGGCAGATCACGAGGTCAGGAGATCTAAACCATCCTGGCTAACACGGTGAAACCCCATCTCTACTAAAAAATACCAAAAATTAGCTGGGCAAGGTGGCGGGCGCCTGTAGTCCCAGCTACTCGGGAGGCTGAGGCAGGAGAATGGTGTGAACCCGGGAGGCGGAGCTTGCAGTGAGCCGAGATCGCGCCACTGTGCTCCAGCCTGGGTGACAGAGCGAAACTCCGTCTCAAAAAAAAAAAAAAAGTTGCAAGTAATTTGCAAACACATTTATTAGTGGTATTATGGTCAAATTATAAATTTGAAGAGAACCGAGTTTGTTCCTTTAATCTTAGTAAACCAGACCAGTACTACTTTTCTTACATTTAAAATGATGAATGTGTTACTGAGGTTCATCATGTAAAAATATTTACTTAATACACCATGTCTTTTTTTGTTTGTTTGTTTTTGAGATGGAGTTTTGCTCTTGTTGCCCAGGCTGGAGTGCAATGGCGTGATCTCAGGTAACCGCAGCCTCCGCCTCCCGGGTTCAAGCAATTCTCTTGCCTCAGCCTCCCGAGTAGCTGGGATTACAGGCATGTGCCACCACGCCCAGCTAATTTTGTGTTTTTAATAGAGACGGGGTTTCTCCATGTTGGTCAGGCTGGTTTCGAATTCCCGACCTCAGGTGATCCGCCCACCTCGGCCTCCCAAAGTGCTGGGACTACAGGCGTGAGCCACTGTGCCTGGCCCCATACACCATGCCTTAAATGTGCTGAAAATAATTTTTGTAACTTCATTTTAATGTAAAAGTTTAATAAAGTTCAGAATATCTTTTAAACCTTTGAAAATGACTTTGTTGATTTTAATGAGGACTAAGTGATTTATTCATATTCACATGCTTTTGAATAATCCCTGTTATGTATAAGGATTCTTTACTAAATATTTTGGGTATTTCCTCTACCTAAAGACACTATTATGCAACAGACAGAATTTCCATTTGAAAGGGTTAGAATATTGCTGTATTACACATATTCATATGTCCCTTCTTTTCCTTCCTATACAAAGTGTTGTTTTGAATTTTTAACAATTTATTTTTCTTCATCTTTAGAGAGTAAAACTTGTCTCGGCACAGAGTCAAGTAAAGAAAGCCAACATACAGTGGAGCCCCTGGGGAGCAGTCCCTGCTGTCATCAGATGGACGTGCAAACAGATTCCCCAAGCCTTTCGGTAACTGCAGGAAAGGACCACATGGAGGAGCTGCTCTGCAGCGCTGAAGCCACGTTAGCGCTCCACACCCAGTCCTCCGAGACAGCAGGGAGCCCGTCTGGGCCAGACTCTTCTGAGGATGCTTGTGAGGATGACAGTCGCTTGCAGCTGGCTCAAACAGAGGCCTGCCAGGATGTGGCCAGAATAGAGGGCATTGCTGAAGACCCTAAGGTGTTTCTTTCCAGCAAGTCAAAGACAGAGCCGTTGATTTCACCAGGCTGTGACCGTATACCTCCTGCATTGATTTCTGAGGGTAAATATTCACAGGCTCAGAGGAAAGAACTCCGTTTGCCACTTCGGGATGCTTCTGAGGCGTTGCCCACAGACCAACTTGAGAACAATGAATTAAATGAGCTGCAGCAGCCTGATCTTACAGACAGTGATGGAAAATCACCACAGGCGCAGGCTGACTCAGACGGTTCTGAGAATGTGCTCTGTGGAAATAATCAAATATCTGACTTAGGCATACTGCTTCCAGAGGTGTGTATGGCCCCAGAGGAAAAGGGAGATAAAGACGACCAACTCAACAAAGAAACAGAAGACTATTTGAACAGCCTTTTAGAAGGATGTTTAAAAGATACTGAAGATTCCCTTTCCTATGAAGATAACCAAGACGACGACTCCGATCTCCTTCAAGATCTCTCTCCTGAAGAAGCATCCTATAGTCTCCAGGAGAATCTGCCTTCTGATGAGAGCTGTCTTTCTCTTGATGATCTTGCCAAAAGGATAGAGATTGCAGAGGTAAATCAGAGATGAAGTACAATTAAAAGTAAAATGGCATTTAAAAAACATATATATGTATTAAATATTGCCTTGTTTTTGTAAGTTTTCCCTTGTCTCAAACATGAGGGAAAATTCTAGTTAACGTAAGCTTTTAATTATTAGTAGTTTTTACATTTGTATGTATTGAATAAAATGACTTTTAATCATTGCAATGTTCATACTACAAGATGTTCTATTGCATGCCTCCAGCTAGAGTGAGCGTTATTGTATATATCCATTTTTTATAGTCCTGACTGTTATGTGGCAGTTCCAGATATTGGAATCAAAACCAGAATAGTCACATTCTAATAAGGAAGTCTCATTTTTCTTCTCATACATCTAGCAGATAAAATATGATATGTACTTACTGTTTCTTCCTCTTGTTAATATATTTTTTAAGTCTTTTAAAATAGTCTAAAGAATAGAGGGAACATTTTAAAATATAAGAGGTACTAGATTAATTTTTAACCTTATATTAAGTTGAAAAAAGAGATTAAGGAAAAATTACCATTTTTCATTGTTTGATAATACAAAAAAAAAGTTTGGAAAAAGAAAAGATAAAAGCCATATCCAAACTACAGCACACTCACGAAGGCGGCCTGGTGTGGTAGAGCAGAATTCGATTGCCTTAGTTCCAGTACAATCCCACCAGGTAGTTAACAGCTTCTTGGAGTTACCTTTTACCTCTGTAAGCCTGTTTTCTTCTCTGAAAATTAGGATACTAGCTGCCTTTCCTTTTCTTCACCATTTTTCCCCCCAAGTTCACTTTTAAGTCCCATTTGTACTCATTGTGTTCTAAATCAGCATTATCATTGAAAAAATAAGGGGGAAAATGAAAAAGTAACAAAGCCAAAGTAGACAGTAAAATATATGTGAAAACAGAAGACTGAAAAGCTGTCTAAGGTAATTATAGCTGCTATATTACTAGCTCCCTTTATTGCCATTTATAGTCAATTCTCTATAAACAATGACTTTTCTTTTTAATTTTTTTCTTGCCAAAATTAGATAGAATAGTAAAGCACTTGGCTTACTATTCATTCTCTTATTTTAACCAGACAGCTTGGTTGCCATTTGCAGTTAATTCTCTACAGACTGTTGTTTTGTTTTTTTTTTTTTTTCGTAGTTTTTGCTTAACAAAATTATTTAATATTGCTTAATGGGCACAGAATTTCCATTTGGGGCAATGAAAAATGTTGGAAATAGATGGTGGTGATGGTACACGTTTTGATTGCAATGAATGCCACTGAATTGTATACTTACAAAGAGTTAAAATGGCAGTTTCATGTGATATATATTTTTCCACAATGTTAAAAATAGTTTTTTAAAAAATTAGAGCTAATGGTATAGCACTTAATCCGGTATTCATTCTCTTGTACATTTTAACTAAATCTCTGGTACAGGAAGTTAACAACACAAAGCTTATACCCATATTCAAATCTTAGCTGTAATACCAAAAAGTTACCATTGTCTGACTGTCCTTTCTCATGCCAACAATCAAGTTGACCATAAAGGGAGAACCCATGTGGTCTAATTTTACCTTTTTAGGTATAAACTGTGAAGAAGAAGCAGAGAGCTCCTGTTGTCTTGCCCACCTTATAAAACGTTTTCCTCTATTTCAACATTTGACTAGTTACACACTGATAATCATATGGTGTGCCTTTTTAGAACTATCTTTCCCCAGTAACTCATATTTGGGAGGATAATAGGAACTTTTGGAATTTCAATTTTTGCTTCTGCCTGAAAGCTGTTCGGCTGGATAAATTTCTATCATCTAGTTTGCCAGATGTCCCCTCCAGAGCAATTCTTTGAGTTTTGGTAACCTTTATCTTCAACCTCCTCCCTACTCAGCTGTGTTGAAGATGCACAAGGGTCTTGTCGTGGATGTATCAAAGGTCTGTAGCATTTCTCCTGTATATTTCAGTCATCTATTGACATGTATTTCCAAAGCCTACAATTGATCAACATCCCTTTCCCAAATTATTTTTCCCCACATCACTAAATTTAAAATTGTTCTCAACTGAGTCATCCTATTTCTAAGAAATTAAAGAGTTGTTTATATTGGGGAAAAAATATTTTAAGGTGGCAGATTGTTAAATTAATGTTGCGTATTACAATTAAATGGAATATTCCCTCCTCAGACTCAAAACACAATGTCACTTCTGCTGGGTAACAGCTAACAGTGGAAATTACATGTGTTTAAAGTTGTCTTTTCTATTAAGTTAATACATAATGGTCTCCTTTCCTAAGATTATATTGATCTATTAAGTTAAGCTATTTTAAGAACCCCAAAAGCTACATATACATGACTTACAAAACTAATTTACTTTCCTATGACAATGCCAAGCAGATTGTTAAACATTTGCTTTCTGAATACTTACTACCCTCGCTATTCTGAAAAGCATGGTTTAACAAAGTCTGCCTAACTCTGTCAGGAAAGGAGTTTTTAAAGTTTCAATGCTAAAAATCACTAATACTTAATATTTTCTAATACCTTAACAATGAGGTTTTGGACCAAGTAAAATATCCAGGCAATTGTGGGTTTGCTTATAAGTGCAAACTTAGGATTTTTATTTTAAAAATTTCTTTTAGATTTGAACATATAAAATTTTAATTCAAACTTTTTTTTTTTTTTTTTTTGATACAGAGTCTCACTCTGTCGCCCAGGCTGGAGTGCAGCGGCACGATCTCAGCTCACTGCAACCTCCATCTCCTGGGTTCAAGCAATACTCGTGCCTCAGTCTGTCGAGTAGCTGGGACTACAGGCATGCACCACCATGCCCTGCTACTTTTTATATTTTTAGTAGAGATGGGGTTTCACCATGTTGGCCAGGCTGGTCTTCAACTCCTGGCCTCAAGTAATCCACCTACCTCGGCCTACCAAAGTGCTGGGATTACAGGCTTGAGCTACCATGCTTGGCCTTCAAACACTTTTTCTGTTTGTGCTTTCAGTAAAATTTTATTAAGAGTCTTCCCTGTGTTTGGTGCTGAGGATACAATGAGAAATCAGATGATGTTGTTGGCCTTTTGGGGGATCTCTGCTGTCACACTTGGCTGATTTTACTGGAATTGTTTTTGAAATTTTTTTTTATGCTTCCTTCCGTTTGTGATTAGAGGATATAGAACATGATCTCTTAATAACCAAGTAATTATGAACAACATTTTTCTTGCACTTAGGAACCCCGAGGCAATGAGTCTGCCCCCTCCACCCCTCCACGCTGCTGTGCTATCGCAGGTGGTCCTTCTCTGTTCGCTTTCCCAGATCTCCCTATCATTTCTCCCCGCCCAGGTTCTCTTACTTCCCTCTTTCTACCATTGTGTTTGTGGTAGAGCATGCTGGTTTGTTCTTTCTTTGCCAGCTTTCCCCTTTCCTCTTGTCTGTCTGCTTTCATTTTCTTGCCACTTTTGCATTGCCCAGCCTTGGCTCCAGTGGAATTTGGTTTTGATCATCATTGCCAGCCCAGTGCAAGCACTTGTTTTGTTGTGTTGCTTTGAACAGTTGGATTCATCAGATCAAATGAAATAATTTACATAAAATGTCACAGAGAACTAAAAATGTCTATACTATTTATATAGTGACATGTATAAAGGGAACTTGTCTAGGTTTGGAAAGCTTTTTCAAACCCAGTAATTTGCTATGTAAAGTGATAGCTTAATATCTGAAGTATTGCTATTCTTTCTTACATAAAAAATAGCATGACACGTTATCATCAAAAGTATAGTTTATACTGTATACTGTTTTTAAAAAGCATCAAAAATTTTATCCTCCTTTCATAGATTTTTAAGAAAAAAAATGATCACATGTGCATTGTCAGACAACACATTGGAAAGATTTACTCGTTTATTCTCTCATTCTGTAATTTTTATTGAGTGACTTCTCTGTGAGGGCCGCATTACAGATGCAGTGACTGAAAATACACGTAAGGATTTTTATGCAGATGAAGCCTGCAATCTAACAGTCGTCTGGCACCAAGTGTGTTGTCTTTTTGCTGAATTTGAACATCCCATAGTTTTTGGCAAAGGATGAAATTGTATTATAATACCTATAATACACTGACGTGATGATTTTAGTGTCAGAACCCAAACCCCCTTTACTCAGGAACCTGATCATGCAAATAAATCATGTGTTTGTTTGGTTCTGGAACCTGGAAGAGTTGCATTATCTTCTCTTTAAACTCTTCAGCTGTTCCTCCTGTAGCCTGAGACTCAGAGGGAGCTCCTAGCATCCAAACTTGAACGAAATGTGCCATGTAAACTCAGAGTGCCAGGATGACCCACGGGGGTGCGCACTCAGCTTGTACAGACTCTTACACACATAGAGATGAGGTAGCTGTTTTCTGAACAAGTGAGGTTGAAATTGAATGTTGGATACATTTTACGAAAGTTAATCTATTTTTGAACATTGAAAATAATCATAGTATGTAATTCAGAGGTCCCCTTGTGAGCAGATTTTAGCAACATGATATGCTGTGTGGAGATAAACCATTCATTTTTCTTCATTAACATCTACATTTATAATCTGCTTGCAGAAATGTCATATGTTCAGAAAAATATATTAAGTGTTTCAGATTGAAGTGATTTTTGTTTTTAGAAATAATTTCATTATTTCTAAAATCTGAGGAAGAAGCCCTGTGTTACTGCTTGGGTCTTTAGAAAGCTTTTAATCTGGCCGGGCACAGTGGCTCACGCCTGTAATCCCAGCACTTTGGGAGGCCAAGGCGGGCGGATCACGAGGTCAGGAGATCGAGACCATCCTGGCTAACACGGTGAAACCCCGTCTCTACTAAAAATACAAAAAACTAGCCGGGCGTGGTGGCGGGCGCCTGTAGTCCCAGCTACTCGGGAGGCTGAGGCAGGAGAATGGCGTGAACCTGGGAGGCGGAGCTTGCAGTGAGCCGAGATTGCACCACTGCACTCCAGCCTGGGCTACAGAGTGAGACTCTGTCTCAAAAAAAAAAAAAAAGAAAGCTTTTAATCTAGGAGAGAGCAACTCATGTTCCTTGCCCTCTGTCTAGATTAGCAACATTTACTTAAATGTTTTCAGAACTGCTTGTATCACATGAAGCAAAATACAGGGGAGGACATAAGTTCACAGTGTCTAGTGGGGAGAAAAATGACAACCCAGATTGCTCCTGGATTTGCCTTTAGAGAAGCTATCTAATCGAAGCTGTGAGTTTTCTTCCCTGTTGCCTATTAAGTGAGGTAGTTATTTCTTGACTAGATAGATCACTGGGATCAGGGAAGTTACTTTACGACTAGCTGCTGTGGGATTCTCTTGCCAAGTGAAGATGGGAGGCTAGCACTAAGCAGTAGTCGCTTATGAAATCACATTGGTAGCTGCTCTATGGATCCGGAACAAAAGAGGGTCTTAGAAACAGCAATCATGGTTGTTCTGCCCAGAATGGCTCTTTTGAGAGGAGCAGGGGAAGTCCAGCCTCCTCACAATAGAAGAAATGCAGTCTTCCAATAATGTAAGAGGTTTTAGAAACAATGGTTGGCCCAGAATTTATGTAGATATCTAAAGAGCGCCCAAAGGAAAACCCAGGAATTACCTGTTTTCCAAATGGCCTCGTCCTTGCCTTTTGTTTTTATCATGACCTCTACATTTTCTAATTAATTAATGCTTCTCTTGATAGCCATGTCTCTTGCGCAAAGCTCTTTTTCTTTTCCTTTTTAATCACTCTTTTAATTTATATTTGTACTGCTCTTCCTGGACTTTTGCAGTAGTTACTTAATAAGTTTCCCTGTCCCTTGTTTCATCTTCTCCCCTCCAAATTGGTCTTACGTTAGCACTCTATAAACTTGGGGTCTCAAACTGGTACCCAAGGAGCCAGTCAGGTATTAGAAGTCAATGAAATGAGTTAGGTGTAGAGTGATAGGAAGAAGGTTTCCACGCCTTGTCTGGAAGTATACAGCTTTTTTAAACTCCACAGATTAAACCAACCACAGCTGAGGGTTCTTGATCGAACACACGGACTGTGAGTTTAAACTCCTGCTATGAAACACTTTTAAACTATCATTCCTTTCCCACGGCTCTCTTTACCTGCAGGATAAAGGCTGTACTACTCGACATTCAGGACTCCTGTCATCTGGCCCACTCTGTCTCCCCAACGTCATCTTCTGTCCTGGGGTCTCAGACTATACCGTAGTCAGACTGGCCCCCTCGCCACCTCCCAGATACACCTTGCATGTCGTCACGTTTGCTCTTTTCCCTCTGTGTATGTCAGCTCCACCCTGAGGTGAGCAACCTTCTTTCCACATACCTATCTCTTCCCAGCCCTCCACATCTAGGTCATGGCTTTTTAGCATGGAGAGTACCAAACAGTGCCTAGCTCATGGCCAGTACTCAGTAAGTGCTAGCTGATGCTATGATTCCCTGATCACTGGAGTCCAGAAGTTTGTTTCTTTCAAACAATTCCTCGGAACTTCAAATGAGGTTGAGGCTGGAACATCACTCTTCCCAAAGTCCTGTCTAGCTGTAATCTCTCTCTGTTATCGTAAGACGCACACATACTGTCTTCTACATCAAACTGCAAACTCCTTAAAGATACGGATTCTGTTAAATACATCTTTATATTCTCTGCAAAGCTAATACAGGCTGTTGTAAATAACAGCCACTATACACAGTAAGGCTTTTTTTCTTAGTTCACTTATAAAAATAAATATCCTTTAATGATAGATTTGGTTTTGATTATTTTCAGTGAAAAAGCTACATTACTCAAACAAGTATTTGCTAGGTGCTATCTATATGTAAATTGCTTATCTGTGTTTTTTTTTTTATTCTTTGGCATATTTAGTGAGCACCTACTATATTATAGAAACTAGGAAGACAGCGCTGAACACAGATCAAGTCCCTGCTCTCATAAAGCTTACTTTCTAGAGGGAGAGACACGTAATAAGTTAACATAAAAACAAAAATATAGTTTTGGATACTGGAAGAACTATTAAAGAATTTCAGCAAGGTCAGGGGATTTAAAGTAACTGAACTGGCAGCTATTTAAACAATTTTCTGGGCCTTAAAAATGGGATCATATCTTGACATTCTCATTTCTTTTTCTATTTTGTACTTACTAAATTGCCCCCTTAAGCAAGCAAAACAAATTGCAAAAACATGAGGTAATGCCTCACCTAGAAACTTAGACACATTGTAAAACTCCTGTGATTTTTTTAAAGGCTTTTTCCTTTTTAAGTGAATCTTTTAAAGATTCGACATTGATGTACTTCATCATCATGCGTTTTTCCCCTTGTTTGCCTTCTCCCTGTATTGCAGTGTTCTAAGATGCAGTGCTGTGGGTCTGAGGTGACCGCCGTGTTCTTTCTGGAAAATGGCTGCTGCTTACAGCTGGTACTCCCTGGCCCAGCGGTGACATGTTTTTATCAATCTGCCATAGAAGGAGCCATGACATTAGTCTACTTCCAGATTAATCAAATGACACAAAGATCTTTCATCTAATCTCCTCTTCCCCTGTGTCTCTAGATGGGCAAATTTGGCCATTAGTTTAAGTATCTCATAAATGAGGTGATGTGTAAGATAAGAATTTTTGCTAGAGTCTTATTTGAAAGTTCTATTAATCTTGTTTTAATTGTAATATATATTATAGCATATGGCATAAAGCAACATTTTAATAGTCATAGAAAATAAGATATTTTCACATTAAGGAACTGGCAAGAGGTTTGATACTGAATTTGTTTTCAAACTCTACCAGCTACTGGCACTGCAAGCTTAAGCAAGTTACTCAAGCCCTTGAAGCTTGGCCTCTTCGTCTGCAAAATGGGGCTGATAAGGCTTCTAAAAGAGAGTTGTGAAAATTAAATATGATATAGTATGTAAATATCGTTACATAAAATGTACACATTTACTAAATTATAGTTGTTATTATGGAACCCAACACTAAAGAAGCGGGCAGAGAATATCACTTGTTTCTGTAGTTAGGAATAGTAGCAGTAAATTTGACATGTGCCACTATAGTGAAATTGCTGGCACTTAAGTTATTTGTCATATACTATAATAATATGATTTATGAATGTTAATTCTCAAATCAGTTGGAAGCCAACTGTGTGTTCTTGTTCAGAATTGACCAACCTAGAGGTTCTGAATTGAGTGAAACCTATATCATTAAAAGAATGTGACTTGGTATCTGTTTTCTTCTTTAATTTTGTGAGGAGGCACTTCCAACAGCAGTGTGTCTCTGAATATTTTTCTTGTCACATTAGGATTCACTATTCCAGAAGAGTTGCGAATAATTTTGTTTTCACAACTAGTTCATTCTGAAAATGCTATTTAAGGTGGTCACTGATATTTGAGGGGAAGTGTGGGAAGAACTATTTATTTGCAAATACAGAAGACTGGGCCAGATGGAATTTTTTTTAATTCTGCATTTATTCATAGAGCACCACCCGTAACAATTACATTAATTATAGCTCAGACATTCTTTTTGGTCTCAATAGAAGGGCTTGGTATATTTGTTTGGGTAAGAATTTGGCAATTGAAGTGGGAAACTAAATTTAGTTTTAAGGCTTTATTTTTTGAGATTTAAAAATTCTTCACCTTTTAATACTGACACTATAGTTTTAAAAACAATGGAAATATTTTTAAGAATAGTCTGGGGCCGGGCACAGTGGCGCAAATCTGTAATCCTGGTGCTTTGGGTTGCTTGAGCCCAGGAGTTCGAGACCAGCCTGGGCAACACAGCAAAACCCTGTCTCCACAAAAGAATGCCAAAAACATTAGCCAGGCATGGTGGCGTGTGCCTGTAGTCCCAGCTACAGGAGGCTAAGGTGGGAGGATTGCTTGAGCCTAGGAGGTTGAGGCTGCAGCGAGCTGTCAGCATGCCACTGCACTCCAGCCTGGGCAACAGAGTGCGACCCTCTCTCAAAAAAAACAGACAAAAACAAAACAAAATAATAGTTTGGAGGGAACACATTGCTCTATGCCCTAAATCAGCAGCCCAGTGTATTTTAGAAACACTTGTCAGTCTTTTGAGTGAGACCCCAAACCGAGACCATGACTTTGTTTTGTCTTACTTGCCCTTCAAGTATGAAATTGAGGCAAACCCCACCAAACTTGTTTCTTAAGATCTTTATGTTGGACTGCCCTGAAGTGGTAAGAAAAAATTCTGTTACAGGTAGATCTGAACTGCGCCCAAAACTCTCGCAAAAATAGAAAGGCTCGATGCTGTCCGCCACTCCCACCTGAGAGTGCCTCCTTGGCCTGCATCTCTTATGCATAAGCTTGGCCCACCGTCCCTTGTTCTCCATCTGTAGGCTGTAGAATCAGAAGACAGTTACAACAGAAAGACCTAGAGAAGATCACTGAGCAAGAACTGAAAGGAAATGATGGAAAAGAGCAGACTCCTTCACTTCAGACACTGGGGCAGGCCCTGCTGAAACAAAAGGGTTTTGGTGGCAGAAAAAAAAGGCGTGGTTCGATTTTTAGCAAGAATTAAGGTATTGTGACGGAGGGGGTGTCAAAAATGTTAGCCCATCCCACACAATTGTAATTTCTCATACTCTGCTTCTCCCATCTTTAAAAAGAATTCAGAAAAAGTTGCCAGAGTTCATTGCCACCCATAGTAAATAAGGTGGGACCACCTGACAAGGCTTGTATCCCTTAGTGTTGACTTCCACAGCCAAACACCACCCTCCCTGGTTGAGGCTGAGCAGGAGCTAAGGCAGGGACCTCACAGCCGCTGCACTAGGACCAGCTCTAGGTTCAGTTGGCTCATTCTGTGCCTTTCCAGATGATTTCAGGAGCTTCTCTTCCTCTGTCAACATGTTTGTTCCTATTTGCATTGTCTTTTGATTTATGGCTTGTATCCGTTTCTTGAATTTATAGATGCAGAATTCATATCAGAAAGATCAATTAAGAGCAACACAACTCTGGGGCTCATCTTTAAAACTATTCTTAATAGGGTTGTTTTTTCTAAGTAGTTAAAACGGCACCTTGAAAATCCCTGTGGTAGGTGAATTCACCATTGGTAAGTGTATGACAGTATTTTATGGAGAAAATAGATCGTGAAGGAATCAATAAACTTCCTCCCCGCTTTTAAAATTTTTGGAAAAATTTTAGAACAGCCAGATTCAAGATCCTCTCCTTTTTTTTACATGTACTAAAAATTAAAAGAATATCAATGATACATCTTTAGTAGTAATGTATTCATGAAAATTAATTCTTGTTTTCCATCTTTTGCTCTTTACAAACTGGTTAAGACTGTTTCCCTCTCAGTGTCAGCAAGGTGCTTATAAAACCTGTTTTCTCTGTTGTGTGAGGGAGTTCTTTAATGACGATGTTGCTTTCTTCATATATTTGTACTTTACCATTTCAAGGCCACTAAAGTACTTCTGTTTTCTCAGAACAAGGACTTCTGAAATACATTATTTCCTATAAAAAGAAAAGAATATATTGTTGGCTTGTTGATTTTTTTTTTGAGATAATGGTTTCTATAGACCCACATTCAGGGAAGCATAGTCAAAGACTATCTTGGTCTATTTGGCCCTAAAAGCCCTAAGATATAAAAAGAACTAATCGAATCTGTAATATTTATGCATAGCGCATTATCGAAGATGGCTGGCTGGAACTGCAAGTCATATTTAGTGTTTTATGCTATTGATTAGATAAATGACATTAGAGGCCATCCTCAGCTTAGTCACTGAGGCCAGCAAGTCACTGATGCCAGCAAGTCACTGGCCTGATGCCAGCAAGTCACTGACATCTTCGGTGTTAGGCCCACAGTGCCTGCCTGTGTCATCACCTACAGCTTGTAGCAATCAGGCAACTAACAAGTTAACTTCTGTGACTGGCCCTGCTGTTCAGGGGCCTTCGGCAAGGCCTCCTGCTTCCCAGCCTGGCTCTCCCACCTGCTCCTCTTCCTTCTTCCTGCACCTTGGAGTCTGTTAGCTCCTAAATGGCGAGGGTTTTTGGTTTTGTTTCTAAATAAGGGGTGGAACATAGGCAGGAGAGAGGCAGCCCAAGTGAAAGAGCTAGAAGGCAACATATAAAGGGGTGGGGTGGGTGTCTGAAGAGATATTAGGCAGCAGACTTTTTCTAGGAAAGGCCAAATTACTAATATTTTAGGCTCTATGATCTCTTAGAACCGCACAGTGCCATTGTAGCCCAGAAGCAGCTGTGCACAGTGTTCAGATGAATCGGCTCAGCTGTGTTCCAATTAAATTATATTCACAAAAGTAGGCAGCACTGGCCTTTGGCCTGTGGGCCATAGTTTGCCAACCTCTGCATACTAGAAAGTAATATGTCCCAGGCCGGGTGCGGTGGCTCACACCTGTAATCCCAGCACTTTGGGAGGCCAAGGCGGGCAGATCACGAGGTCAGGAGATCGAGACCATCCTGGCTAACTCGGTGAAACCCCGTCTCTACTGAAAATACAAAAAAATTAGCCGAGCATGGTGGCGGGTGCCTGTAGTCCCAGCTACCCCGGAGGCTGAGGCAGGAGAACGGCATGAACCCGGGAGGCGGAGATTGCAGTGAGCCGAGATCGCGCCACTGCACTCCAGCCTGGGCGACAGAGCAAGACTCTGTCTCAAAAAAAAAAAAAATGTCCCTAGTAAACTGGCTCTGAGAGAAATTCTGGAAGTCCTTAAAATATTGTGAGCAGTAGAGCATTATTTAGTAAATGCGTAGTTTCTCAGAGAAACTGAGGACAACACTTTAATGTTAAAAGCTTGGTATCTAAATATATTTTAAGCTTCATATGTTCATTTGTTTAAAATTGCTGATGAATGAAAAAAGCAGTGGAGGATTATAAGCATTTATTATAAAGCAAAACCCAGTGCTAATGACGAAGCAAAGAGGGGACTGTGAGTGATCATTTTACCGATAACAGGGAAGTTAAGCTACAAAGCAAGGTGTTCTGATTTCCAGTCGACTGAACACGTCATGCTGCCTGTCCCCGGAGTGAGTTCAGGGGTTAAAAAAGGAAACCAGGGTTTTGGACTTTTGTGTTTCTCAGTCATCTGCAGAGAAGTGAAAGTTTTATTCTGTTAGATTTTGATGTTATTTTTTTCTATAGGAATTGGATACCCCTGTAATAAAAATTCAAATATCTGTTGAATGAGCCTTTTTATAGCTACATGTAGAGATGTCCCGCCTTAATAAAAGAATTATAGGTTCTTATAATTTCTGACAGGTTGTTCCTACTGAAGGATTGGTCTCCATATTAAAGAAGAGGAATGATACTGTAGGAGATCATCCTGCCCAAATGCAACACAAACCATCTAAGCGAAGAGTGAGATTCCAAGAAATAGACGATAGCTTGGATCAAGGTAAACCGCTTGGCACTGTGGCTAGCAGGATAGATGCTCAGTGTTTGCTGAAAGGATGAGTTTGTGAATGATGTGACGTTTACTAACAGGATTTGTAAAAGACTATGTCCGCCAGGCACGGTGGCTCACACCTGTAATCCCAGCACTTTAGGAGGCTCAGGCGGGCAGATCACTTGAAATCAGGAGTTCGAGACAAGCCTGACCAACATGACAAAACCCTGTGTCCACTAAAATTAGAAAAATTAGCGAGTGTGGGGGTACGCGCCTGTAATCCCAGCTACTCAGGAGACTGAAGCAGGAGAATCGCTTGAACCCGGGAGACAGGTTACAGTGAGCCAAGAGCGTGCCACTGCACTTCAGCCTAGGTGGCAGAGCGAGGCTCCATCTCAAAAAATAAATATAAATAAGTAAATAAAAGAATATGTCAGTTTAGTTGCTTTATCTTCTAAGGGAGAAACATATAAAATCCAACTATCATCTTAAATCATTTCTAAATCTTTACTTGCTTAAATAAGTGAGCAAGCTGCAAAATTCAACTTGTGGCCTCCCTGTTCCATAGACAGTTAATGTTGAGAGCTTAGTTCAGTTTCCCTCTTTAGTACTTTTTGTGTGAGTCTGCTATTTTTGTCTTTTGTTGTTTTTTTGTTTTTTTTTTAAGACGGTCTTGCTCTGTCACCCAGGCTGGATTGCAGTGGCGCAAATCACTGCAACCTCAACCTCCACCTCCCAGGTTCAAGCAATTCTCCTGCCTCAGCCTCCTGAGTAGCTGGGCTTACAGGCACATGCCACCACGCCCGGCTAATTTTTGTATTTTTAGTGGAGACGGGGTTTCACCATGTTGGTCAGGCTGGTCTCAAACTCCTAACCTCATGAGGTTAGGATCTGCCTGCCTTGGCCTCCCAAAGTGCTAGGATTACAGGTGTGAGCCACCGCACCAGGCCCTGGCTAGTTTTCTGTATTTTTAGTAGAGATGAGGTTTTGCCATGTTGGCCAGGCTAGTCTCGAACTCCTGGCTTCAAGTGATCCACCCACCTCGGCCTCCCAAAGTGCTGGGATTACAGGCATGAGCCACCATGCCCGGCTTGTCTTCTTTTCAGTGGACAATTAATACTCCTCCTTTATTGTGGAAAATATTTATGAATATTCTCTTCAGTGATTTCCTCTTCATTGATAGAAAAGAGTGTCTCTCGAGAGCAGCAGTTTTACACCATTGCTGCTGTTTGACTTCTTCGTCCTGGGCCTGTCAAACTTAAGGCCCTGACTTGGTCTAACATGAGGTGGTGAGTTTTGTAGTGAACAATGCTGCCTTTTATGGTTGCAAATATGTTTATCTAAGGTGTAAGTAAATAAGAGTAAATGGAAAGGTAACCCAGAACCTGTCAGTGGGCTTCTCATATTCATAAAACAACTGCATTGTTAAAATAACAGTGTAAATATTTAGGTATGCTTTCTGGGTGTGACATAAGTGATAACAGTAGAGGTTTCTGCATTTTTACAATTAGAAAGCTGGTTAGGGGGCCTTAGAAATAATGTCCTAACCCCTGATTTTACTTCTGCACCTTGCTTGTAACTCTCACAGTCTTCTCCAGATAAGGTGCTCACTTCTGTTTGCACTAATTTGACCAAATCGTTCCTTAATAGGAGGAACCCCGGATTTGAAACTCACAGTCTGCATTTCACTTTGTAGCCACCTCATCTTAAACTAAGTCACTTACTTGTAGGAGACTGAGTTCCATCATCTTTAAAATAAGGAGAATAACATCTGCCTCTCTGTCCCTATTGAAAAGCGTGTCAGATAATATGTATAAATTCATTTTGAGAATTATAAAACTAAATGTAAATGTTGATTGTGTTGGTTTGTTCCTAAGCTCTGTGACTTACACGGTGTTTTCATAAACCTCACCTTCTGCCAAAATCTTCCTAAAAGGGCCTGTTCTTCCTTCTGTAAGCCAATGCTATCCCCTGGAAATTAATGTGAGGCACATGTATGATTTTCAGCTTTGTAGTAGCCATGTTAAAGTGAAAAGAAACAGGTGAGATGAATTTTATTTTTTATTTGATTTTATTTTTTTTGAGACGGGATCTCACTCTGTCGCCCGGCTGGAGTGCAGTGGTGCGATCTTGGCTCGCTGCAACCTCCGCCTCCCGAGTTCAAGCGATTCTTCTGCCTCAGCCTCCCAGGTAGCTGGGATTACAGGCATGTTCCCCGACGCCTGGCTAATTTTTGTACTTTTAGTAGAGACAGGGGGTTTCACCATGTTGGCCAGGCTGGTCTCGAACTCCTGACCTCAGGTGATCTGCCTGCCTCGGCCTCCCAAAGTGCTGGGATTACAGGCGTGAGCCACCGCACCTGGCCAGAATTTTAAGAATGTATTTTATTTAACCCAGTACATAAAAATTATTTCAAAATGTGATCTATATGAAAAAATTACTAGTGAGACATTTTACATCCTTTTTTTCACACTAAGTATTCAGAATCTGTGTTCATCGCCGCTCAGTTTGGACCAGCTACATGTCAAGTGCCCAACAGCCACCTGTGGCTCACATCGGACAGTACAGCTCAGACAGGTCTAGGACATATAAATAAAACAAACAGCATAGATGCTTTTACATATTTAAGCTATATTTAAATGTTTGGATTTGAATATATGATAATGAAGAAAAATACTTTAGGTTGTTAACATAGATGAAGTGGGGGTAGGAATCATGTTAAGAAAAGCACGTAAGGCATGGTGCAGTGGCTCACACCTGTCATCCCAGCACTTGGGGAAGCCTCCTCCCAAGTCTTCCTCCTGGATCACTCGAGGCCAGGAGTTGGAGACCAGCCTGGGCAAACATGGCAAGACCCCATCTCTACAAAAAATACAGAAATTAGCAGGGCATGGTGGTGTGTGCACCTTTGGTCCCAGCTACTTGGGAGGCTGAGATGGGAGGATCGCTTGAGCCCAGGAGGTTGAGGCTGCAGTGAGTGTGGCCTGGTGACAGAGCACAACCCTATGTCTAAAAAAAAAAAAAAAAGAAAGACAAGACCGAACTGTCCAAAAAAATACAGCATGATTAATATGATCCTATTTCTTCATTTATATAAAAGACATATTTTCATACATAGGTATAAACTATTTTAGACTGGGCGTGGTGGCTTATGCCTGTAATCCCAGCACTTTGGGAGGCCAAGGCGGGCAAATCACCTGAGGTCAGGAGTTTGAGACCAGCCTGGCCAATATGGTGAAACCCCATCTCTATAACAATACAAAAAGTAGCCAGGCATGATGGCAGGTGCCTGTAATCTCAGCTACCCAGGAGGCTGAGGCAGGAGAATTGCTTGAACCCAGGAGGCAGAGGTTGCAGTGAGCCAAGATCACACCATTGCACTCTAGCCTGGGCAACAAGAACAAGACTCTGTCTCAAAAAAAAAAACAACTATTTTAAAATGTAAATTTCAGAGCAAACAATTTTTTAATCCTATTTTGATGTAAGTCCTGAAATCATACGTGTTTGATCTGAAATGACACACACCAAATTTAACAGTGTTTACCTCTGGGATGGGAAGGAAATATGATTGGGCGGGAGAAAAACGGATAGTCCCTTAGACTCTAAGATGCTTTTGGGGTTGCGTTTTTACAGGGAGAATATATTCATGTATTACTGCACAATGTTCTAAATAAAGTCTATTTGGTATCCATTAGGTTTTGTAAAATTTGTTTCTTGTAAAAATATATGCTAATTATGAAAAAAATCAGTTTAATAAAGTAAAAATTAAATCATGAGTCTTAGACATCCTTCAATGAAAGAACATATTAAATTTACTTCATTCTATTAAATACTTACATCATATTCCATTATATAAATGTCCCATAATTGTTTAACTGTTCCATTGTAACCAGAACCACTAAGTTATTCCCAGCCTTTTGTTATAACAAACCCTGCTGCAGTGAACAAGCTTGTATATATGATATTTGTTGTGCAGAACTGTAGCCTAATTCTTAAAGGTGGATTTGCTGGGATATGTTGAAACTATATGTCCCAGGTGGCCTGAGGCCGTCCTGGTTTACACCTGTTGTCCCGGAATTGCATTCAGTTAACACTGTCTTTTTTTCTTTTTTTTTTTTTGAGAAGGAGTCTCGCCCTGTGGCCCAGGCTGGAGTGCAGTGGTGTGATCTCAGCTCACTGCAACCTCCGCCTCCCAGGTTCATGCCATTCTCCTGCCTCAGCCTCCTGAGTAGCTGAGACTATAGGCACCTGCCACCACGCCCAGCTGATTTTTTATATTTTTAGTAGAGACGGGGTTTCACCGTGTCAGCCAGGATGGTCTCGATCTCCTGACCTCGTGATCCGCCCGCCTCAGCCTCCCAAAGTGCTGGGATTACAGGCGTGAGCCACCACACCCAGCCTTAACACTGTCTTTTACTCTCAAAATTGTCCAGTCTGTAGGATAAATTAATTTTAAATTTTAATAGATACTGCCAAATTACCTTCCAAAAAGGCATTCCTACACTTTAATCATGCTGCAGATCAGAAGACTTTTTGGTCTTTTTGAAATTAAAATTTTTTTTAAATTATGAATAATTAAGATATTTTTCAACCAAAGAATGATTGTTTTCTTCAATATAGAAAGATGCAAAAGAGATCCCACCCAAAGGCATTTTTATTGTTTAATATTAAGTCGACTTTGCTCTCAGGTAGTCCCATTATGTGAACCCCAAGGATCTTAGAACAGCCAGGCTGTACTGTAGACTGTCAAATAATGCTGTCGGGGTGGGCATGCTGGCTCACACCTGTAATCCCAGTACTTTGAGAGGCCATGACATGAAGATAACTTGAGGCCAGGAGTTCAAGACCACCCTCTGCAGCATAGTGAGACCCCATCTCTACCAAAAAATAAAAAATAAATAGCCAGGCATGGTGGCACAGGCCTGTAGTCCTAGCTGCTCAGGAGGCTGAGGCAGGAGGACTACTTGAGCCCAGGTGTCAGGGCTGCAGTGAGCCAAGATTTTGCCACTGCACTTCAGCCAGGGTGACAAAGTGAGACCCTGTCTCTAAAAAACAAACAAAAATGAATGAATTCATTAATGCGTGCTATGAGCACGTGAGCTGTTTTTCTTCTTCTCATGGAGTGATTCTGTCCATTGTATAAATGAGCTAGTTTTAATTTTAGCTTGTACAAGCTCCACAAGTCTGAATCTTCTTGGTATTTAATAGGTAGGTCTTTGTAGAGTCATTAGCAGCATGAGTTTTCTGTCAATACTTCCTATCCGTAGAGGACCAACAGTAGAAATGTGTAGTTATCTTAATTAGTGAAAAGACAGCAGATGCTAAGATTTCCATTTCGGTGACAATGTAACCTCACTCTTTCTCATGTTTGCAGATGAAGTTGGAGGTGGCTCCTGTATTTTGCTGGTCTTGCTGTGCATAGCAACGGTTTTCCTCAGTGTTGGAGGAACTGCATTATACTGCACTTTCGGTGACATGGAGTCACCTGTTTGTACTGACTTTGCAGACAACATGGACTTCTATTACACTAAGTTACTTCAGGGAGTGGCAGAACTGAAGCACTGGATCTACCTCTCCTAGCAGCATTCCAGACACAGACATGCTGGCAGTGAGAGTGAAAGGCGGGAGACTTTCTAAACAGTTTTTCTTTCAGGAATTCTGTAGCATTCCCCCTTCCCTCTGTTAGGAACCAAGGACATCAGAAATAGCAACTTTAAGTGGCAAGCCGGAGGAACTCTGTTAGAATAATCCACACAGTGAGGCAAATATCAATCTAAGCATTGTGGATGGAAGGAATGGTCTTTGGAGAGAGCATATCCATCTCCTCCTCACTGCCTCCTAATGTCATGAGGTACACTGAGCAGAATTAAACAGGGTAGTCTTAACCACACTATTTTTAGCTACCTTGTCAAGCTAATGGTTAAAGAACACTTTTGGTTTACACTTGTTGGGTCATAGAAGTTGCTTTCCGCCATCACGCAATAAGTTTGTGTGTAATCAGAAGGAGTTACCTTATGGTTTCAGTGTCATTCTTTAGTTAACTTGGGAGCTGTGTAATTTAGGCTTTGCGTATTATTTCACTTCTGTTCTCCACTTATGAAGTGATTGTGTGTTTGCGTGTGTGTGCGTGCGCATGTGCTTCCGGCAGTTAACATAAGCAAATACCCAACATCACAAAGATGATCTTTCTTCTTTTAACTTGATGATGATGTGCAGGCACAAATCTTTGGAGAAGGCTTAACTGTGGAATAGATGAATTCTAGAACTCTTGACCCTGCAATGAGAAACTGTGACAGATCTGTGTCAATTAACTTGATTAGCCAGAAATTAATCACAGGCCTAGAGACCAAAGAAAAAGCTCCCCTGAGTCTCAGGCAACAGTTTTGTCACGGATGCAAAGCTTCCTGAAATCATGAATGCTGGACTCAGTTTGGCAAACGCTTACACCTATTATGTTCTGAGATTCTGAGAACCAGAATGCAAACTTAAGTAAGATACAGTTCCCACTGTAGGTGTTTTAATCCTGGTCTTATATAGAATAAACCAGTACTTTGCTGAGTGAAATCACCATATAGAATTCAGTATTAACAGATCATGCATTCAGATGCTTGAATGTGCATTCTTGTTGTGGGCTTGATTTAGATCCTATTGCGGGGTCATTACGCAAAAATTCAATCATACCTTCCATAGACAAATGTCTGATTTTTGTTTAAATCTGTCCGTTAGGTGGCCTTTCCTTATCTGAGGTGTAGTGGTCTAACATTTAGGAAGCCTTGCTTTGACTTTATCGGGCAGCATTAAAAAAAAAACAACAAAGAAAAACCAAACATGAATTATAGTTTTTAACAAGTGATCTTTATTTCCTGTCTTCTGTTAGGATCATTTGAAAGAAAAAGGGAGAACTTACTTTCTAGTTGTTACTGGCTGGCACAGTACCTCCCTTTGTGTTTCTGCTTATTTATTTAGATTATGTGAATCTTAAAGGGCTTTTTATATCAGTTGAAAGTGTGTTACTGCGCATGCATTTGGTGATTCCAGTGCTAGATATTTAATTACTGTGTATTTAGTGTTTTGATTTTCTATAATTTCAGTTCCGCGTGTTTTTACACTTGTTCATTTTAAATTGATGTTTCATTTTCACTTATAATACTGTTTGACTTGTCTCTATCATGTCACCATAAACTGTAATATTTTCAAGGGTTATAGATCAAAGATATTTATTTAGAAATGTACAAGATAATGAAATTTAGATTCCTTATACTTAAGGCTGATTTTATTAGAAGATTATTTTAATGTTCTATTATAAATTTTAAGAATTTGTATTCAAATTGTATGTAAAATATGTAAAATGTTGACGGTACTATATTAAGTGGTTCTATAAAAGCTATTCACAAGTTCTACTGTGATGGACATCCTCATCATAGACAAACCTCCTCTGTTTTATCCTCAATTTCTAGTTACAGAAATTTGGTGATGCTTATTTTTGCCAATTTTATGTCAAAATAAGTTAAAACTTCCCTCCTGTTCACCTCTTGGGTCTCTATCCTGTGTAACCTCTGGTGTAGTATTTGCCCATAGGCAACCAGAGCCACTTCCTCTGAACCCAACATCTCCTGGGGACCTTCGCAGCAAGAGGAAAGCACTGAGACAATAGCTTGCTAAGCAGGGGCCCAGTGGTGTCTCAGAGAAACCATGGGTGTCCTCGCCACTTCCCAGGGAGGGTGAGGTGAGCTCGGGAACATAACGATGTTTTGACTTACAATAGGCATGAAATCGCAACTAGAAAAATTAGGGCAGTTTTTAAAAATGTCATAGTTATCTATTGCATGAACTGGAGTAATTCCACCTGGTGGTGAAAGGATTGTTATTTCACACATGAAAAATTCATCCAGTTTTACTAAAATGTAATTTTTTCTGTCATTTGAAAGTACTGACAACTATTTGTAACTAATCTTCCTTAAGAACTGTATTTGAGGGTATCAAATCAAGCTTGTAATTTAAAATCTGTACCAACAAAGTGTCTCAGAGAGTTTATTTGAACCATTGGGTGCTGAGAAAAAACTGCTTTAAAGTGAAACTTTGATTTCAGAAGTTGATCTGGCCCTACAAGTAGACAGTCATCTACTTTGGGAAGACTAATAGGTCCTTAGGTAACGGCTCTTCTGCTTTAAAATACCTCCCCCATCTGCTGACAGTAGCTGAAGATTATTCTAAACATTCATTCTTTTAGATTTAAAAATAAAAATCTTCTGGAGGATTTAAGATTTGAAGGGGGCCTTATTTTGTTTTTTTGTTTTGTTCTATTCTGTTTTTTCGCCCTGTCGCCCAGGCTTGAGTGCAGTGGCGCAGTGTCTGCCAACTGCAACGTCCGCCTCACAGGTTCAAGTGATTCTCGTGCCTCAGCCTCCCAAGTAGCCAGGATTACAGACATGCGCCACCGCGCCCGGCTGATTTTTGTATTTTTTGTAGAGACGGCGGTTTCATTGGCCAAGCTGGTCTCGACTCCCAACCTCAGGTGATCGACTGCCTCAGCCTCCCAAAGTGCTGGTATTACAGGCGTGAGCCACCGCACTCGGCCCACGGGCCTTATTTGAAGGACTTACGTGAATTGGGTTTTGCTGGGGTGCCGGGAGGATATGGGGTAGGAGTGGCAGGGATGGAGAAAGGTGAAAGGTGGGAAAGGACACAGAAATCCTTTAGCTGTTCACCTGCTTTGCTGAAGGTGGCCTTGAGGCATTTACTCCCAATCCAGAGAGAGGCTGAATTTTTCCCTTCTGGTGACATGAACTGCGTAACTGTCCGTTTCTTTGGGCTCGCTGTTGTGTACGATTTTGTGCAGTGTGTGTGGTGTTTACACATTTTTTCATTTGATGCTGAGATTAGTAAATACACATCCCTCCAATCCAGATCTTACAACTCCCAAATCCGTCATAGTTTCTATACTGCCCTGTTGCCTCTATCTTCAAAAAGAGTAAGTAAGAGTGATTCGAGGATTTATGGCACAAATTCTAGTGCCATCTGCTGTTTTAACAACCCCAAAGATAAACATTTATTGAGCCTCCTGTCCTAACCCTATACAAGCTACAGTGGGTTAGAAATTTCCTTAAGGAATTTTTGTACTATTTCAATCTCCCTGGGTTTAGGCTACTGAGAGAAAAGCTGCGGTAACCAATAGGTACCCGTTCTCTTCTCCCTGATCAAAGAAGAGTTGCTCCCAAACTCACCTTTTTGTCTATTCCCGTGAGATCAGTGCAGAACTATGAGCAACAGCGTTTATCACTGTCTTTACCTTGGCAAACGTTTGAATGCCTGCCGTGTGCCTAGCACTGAGCCGGGTTCTGGGGCCCCGGAAACAAGAAATGGTACCAGCTCCAGGAATTAGCATCTGCTGAGGGAAACATATTTGTGCAGAGGGAATAAAAAGGAAGAACCTGGGAACGTGCTACTCACGGGGTGGGAACCAGAGCTTCCCTGGTGTGTCACACACTATTAGATGCTACTCACGGGGGTGGGGACCAGAGCTTCCCTAGTGTGCGTCACACACTGTTAGAAATCCAAGGATAATTCTATCTAGGCCACTTGCATAGCAGCTTGATAGGAATCTTGATGGATCTTTTCTCACCGCCAGGTTGTAGTAATTATTATCAAGTAATTATTGCTTTTCACTTCTAGTTAGCACATGTGACATGAATGGCTGGCAGGTTTTCCAGCAGTGGAAAGCTTTTCTGCAAGAGCCTTCCTCAAAACTGAGAAGCTGAATTTCCGTGAATTGAAAACCTTCTTACAAAGAAAACTCCGGTCCCAGATGGCATCACCAGTAAATTCTGTCTTTCATTTAAGCAAGAAATAATACCCATCCTACAAAATACTCTTAGAAAGAGAGAGAGAATATTTGCAAATTGACTTTATGAGACCAGAATTACCCTGATACCAAAATCAAACGAAGACAGTAAGAAAAAAACCTAACACCAGTATGACCTATGAATTTAGACACAGAAGTCCTTACCAAAATAGTACATCAAATCTAAAGGTGTAAAAAGGGTAACGCACTGTCACGACCTCGTGAGATCTGACCCAGGAATGCGATGTTGGTTTAATATTCACAAATCACTCTACTCAATTCATTCACCATTTTAACAAACTGAAAGAAAGACCACATCATATCAAAAAGCACGTTAAATCCGTACACCGTTTATGATTAAAAACTCAGCAAACTAGAACTGTAAGTGAACTTTTCAACTTGATAAAGTGCATTTATGAAAACTCACAGCTAATATTAAATACTTAATGGAGAAAGACCAAACAGTTTTCTTCCTATGATCGGGAATAAGGAAAGGGCACTTTTTTTTTTTTTTTGAGATTGAGTCTCACTGTGTCACCCAGGCTGGGGTGCAGTGGCGCCATCTCGGCTCACTGCAAGCTCTGCTTCCCAGGTTCAAGCGATTCTCCTGCCTCAGCCTCCTGAGTAGCTGGGACTACAGGCGCCCGCCTCCACGCCCAGCTAATTTTTGGATTTTTAGTAGAGATGGGGTTTCACCATATTGGCCAGGCTGGTCTCGAAGTCCTGACCTTGTGATCCACCCGCCTGGGCCTTCCAAAGTGCTGGGATTACAGGCGTGAGCCACTGCGCCTGGCCAGAAAGGGCAGTTATATTCAGCTTTGTACTGGAGGTCCTATAGCAAGAAAAAGAAATAAAAGCCATTCCAATTAGAAAAAAATAAAACTTTTTGCAAATGACATGATTGTTTATAAATTAAGAGAATCTGAAGGAATCTACAAAATGCTATTAGAACTAGTGAGTTTAGCAAGGCCACAGGATACAAGGTCAGTATACAGAAAACAGTGTTTGTGAATACTAGCAATGGATAATTGGAAAATGACATTTCAAATTCAGGAATAAATGAAATTTATTTCACTTACAATAGCTTATAAATTGGAATGCTTATACATTTAACAAAGTATGTGCAAAGCTGCACACTGAAATCTATAAAATATTACTGAAAGAAATGGAGAACTAAATAACTGAGAGATATAGTCTGTTCATGGATTGGAAGATGGAATATTGTTAAGATGTTAGTTCTCGCCAAATTGATCCATAGATCTAACACTATTCCAATCAAAATTTCAGTACTTTTTTAAATAAGTTAACAGGTTCTGTTCCCAGTTATTCTGGAGGCTAAGGCAGGAGGATCACTTGAGCCCAGGAGTTCAAGACTGGCCTACACTGCATAGTGAGATCCTGTCTAAGAAACGCAGAGAGAAATAAATTAACAGTTTAAAAATTTAAAATTTGGGGCCTGGCACGGTGGCTCACGCCTATAATCCCAGCACTTTGGGAGGCCAAGGCAGGCGGATCACGAGGTCGGGAGATCGAGACCATCCTGGCTAACACAGTGAAACCCCGTCTCTACTAAAGAAAATACAAAAAAAATAGCCGGGCGTGGTGGTGGGCGCCTGTAGTCCCAGCTACTTGGGAGGCTGAGGCAGGAGAATGGTGTGAACCCGGGAGGCGGAGCTTGCAGTGAGCCGAGATGGCGCCACTGCACACCAGCCTGGGCAACAGAGCGAGACTCTGTCTCAAAAAAAAAAAAAAAAATTAAAATTCAAAATTTGTGTGGAGATGCAAGTGACCTAGAAGATAGCCAGTGAAATTGTTAGAAAGAACAAAACCGGAGGACTTACACTTCCTGATTTTAAGACTGAATTAATGCCGCAGGCCAAGTATGGTGGATTATGCCTATAATCCAAGCACTTAGGGAGGCTGTGGCAGGAGGACCACTGGAGCCCAGGAGTACAAGGTTACAGTGAGCTATGATCGTGCTGCTGCACTCCAGGCTGGGTGACAGAAAGAGACCCTGTCTCAAAAGAAACAAAAAGAGACATGGAATCACCAATAATCAGTTGAGACGCTGAAATTTTTCTAAATTTTCAATGATAAAAAACAAATTTGAGTCAACCATGTTAGAGGAATTATCTTTTCATTATCCCAATAGAAAGTGATATTGGATAATCATTGTCTTACGAAAAAGTGATCAAAGAGTATGCAGCCAAAAAATGTATCATAGAGCTCTCAGTATTGATACTAATAAGTAATTTTTCTGGATTTTGTGATATTTATGGTTTTTTTCTTCAGCTTTTAAAAAATTGTAATTTGAGGCTGGGTGTGATACTCACACTTGTAATTCCAGCACTTTGGGAGGTTGAGGCAGGAAGATCACTTGAGCCCATGAGTTCCAGACTGCAGTGAACTATGATCACACCACTACACTCCAGCCTGTGTAACAGCAAGACCCTGTCTCAAAAGAAAAGGAAAGAAAAAAGGGAAGAAATAAAATGATTATCTCAATAGACACAGAAAAGGCCTTTAACATTCTTTCATGATTAAAAGCAAAACTCTCAGTAAACTAGGAATAGAAGAACTTCCTCAACATAATAAAAGGCATTTATGACAAACCTGCAGCTAACATCATAGTGTTAAAAAGACTAAAATCTTCACCCTTCAATCAGGAACAAGACAAGGATGCTTACCTTCCCACTGCTATTCAACATAGTCCTGGAAGTTCTAACCAGAGGAATTAGACAAGAAAAATGTAAAAGGCATCTGCTGTCATTTTAATGTGTCCCCCAAAAAGCTTGTGTTAGAAATTTCATCTCCAATATGGTAGTGCTGGGAGGTGTTTAGGTCTTAAGGGCCCCAACTTCATGAACGAATTAATGTCAATTATAAAAGGTCTTGAGTCTGCAAAATTGAACTCTTGCTCTCTTTCACCTTTTCTTTGCCCTTCCACCACGGGATGATGCAGCCAGAAGCCAGACGCCAGCCCCTCAATCGTGGACTTCCCAGGCTCCAGAACTACGAGCCAATAAATTTCTGTTCATTATAAAATACCCGGTTTGTGGTATACTGTCACAGCAGCACAAAACAGACTAAGATGGCATCCAAATTGGAGAGAAAGAAGTAACACTGTTCACAGATGACACGTTCCTATATACAGAAAGACCCAAAAATTCACAAGAAAGCTACTCTAGCTGGTAAATGAATTCAGCAAAGTTGCAGGGTACAAGATAAATACACAAAAAAACAGTTGTTTCTATATACCAGCAATTAACAATCCAAAAAAGATATTAAGAAGTCAATTCCAATTACCATCACATCTAAAAGAATAAAATACCTAGGAATAGATGTAGCCAAGGAGGTGAAAGACTTGTACATTAAAAACTACAAGGCTGGGTGTGGTGGCTCACGCGTGTAATCCCAGCACGTTGGGAGGCCAAGGTGGGCGGATCACCTGCGGTCGGGGGTTCAAGACCAGCCTGGCGAACACGGAGAAAGCCCATGTCTACTAAAAAAAAAAAAATACAAAATTAGCCCGGTGTGGTAGCATGTGCCTGTAGTCCCAGCTACTCAGGAGGCTGAGGCAGAAGAGTTGCTTGAACCTGGGAGGCAGAAGTTGCAGTGAGCCGAGATTGTGCCATTGCACTCCAGCCTGGACAACAAGAGCGAAACTCCGTCTCAAAAAAAAACAAAAACAAAACTACAAAACTTTTGTCAACAACTGATGTGATACCTTGGTTCTTGTCTTCTTGGTTTAAAAGAATTTAAACAAGAGACACACAACAAAAGAAGTGCAGTGTAATGTATTGCCAAAAAAAAAGAATATTTTGAAAGTTGGGTGCAGAATAGACGGTACACCCTGAGAGAGAGAAAATTCCGGGCGGGCTGCTCCTGAGGGCGAGACAGCAAAGACGGGCACTAGGGAGACTCCTTGACGAGAGTCTTCCTTGATTATTCATAAGGAGATGGGAAGAGGTGTTGCTAGGAAGCGTGTTCTGGGTGGTCTTCTGGGTGCACAGCAGCTGCACATGCTTGTTCGTACATCGCATGTCTCATTAGCATCTCAATCTCCACTCAGGAGTGTGTGTTTTACTATTATAATGGGCAAAGGGTCAGTTTGAGGGCAGATAAAATCAAAATGCACTTGCCCTCTAGAAGGGAAAGTCCCTACTGAAGATAGCTTTGCTTGAATGAGCTCAATTGCAGTGTGAATGCTGAGGCTTATTGTATTGATTGGGCGGTCACCAGGGCTGCTGCGTCCCAAGAACATGGCCACTTCCTTGACTGCCTTCCTCTCCTGCCTCACTCTGATGAAAGGAGACTAGAAGCAGTGGAAAGCTAACCCATGTTTATGCACAGAAAGACAGTATTGTTAAGATGTCAGTACCATCCAATGTACAGGTTCAATGTGATCCCTATCAAAATTCCAACAGCCTCTTAGCGCAAGAATGGAAAAGTCAGTTTTCAAATTTATATGGCACTACAAGAGGACCCCGATAGCCAAAACCACCTTGAAAAAGTTGGGGGACTCACACTTCCCAATTTCAAAACTTTCTGTAGAGATACATTAGCCAAATCAGTGTGGTACTGCTATAAGGATAGACATATAGACCAGTGGAATAGAAGTGACACTCCAGAAATAAACCCACACGTCTTTGGCCAGTTTATTTTTTGTGGGTATGACAAGTCTGATCAACGACCTAAATACAAGCTAAATCCATAAAACTCTGAAGGAAACATAAAAATGAATCTCCATAAATGTGGATTTGGCAATGTATTCTTAGCTATGACACCAAAAGCATGAATAATAATACACAGGTAAATTACATGTCATCAGGGTTTTTTAACGGTGCATTAAAGAACATTGTCAAGAAAATGAAAAGATGACCCAAAGAATGGGAGGGAGTACTTGCAAATTACATAATAATAAGGGTTATGAAGAACTTACTCAACAAAAAGGTAAACATATACAGAGTCATGAAGAGTATATGAAGAGCTTCCTCAACAAAAAGACAAACAAATAATGGGCAAAGGACTTAAATACAGATTTATTCCAAGAAGATACACAAATGGCCAATAACACATGACAAGATGCTCAACGTCATTGGTCATGAGGAAAATACAAATCCAAACCACAATGAGAATAATGAAATGATACATACTACAGCATGAGTGAATCTTGAAAAGATGTTACGCTATCTGAAATAAGCCAGATACAAATATCGTATGATTTAACTTACAGGAAATATCTATCATAGGCAAAATCAAAGAAACAAAATGTAAATTAGAGGTTACCAGAGGCTGGACGAACAAGGAAACGGGGAGTTACCACTTGTTAGAGTGTTTGTGTTTCAGATGATAAAAAATTTTAGAAAACAGATGGTGGTGATGGAGGGTTGCATGACGTTGAATGTACTTAATGCCATGGAGTTGTACACTGAAAAATGGTGAAAATGGCAAATTTTATGTTACGTGTATTTTAACACACACACAGACTGACACTACCAAGTGTTGGTGAGGACATGGAACAAATTTTCACAGACAGCTAGTGGGAGTATGAAATGATACGCCCACTTTGGAAAACAGTTTGGCAGTTACTTTTTTGGGGGCTGGAGGGTGGGGGTGGTGGAGTCTCACTCTGTCTCCCAGGCTGGAGTGAGTGGTACGATCTCGGCTCACTGCAATCTCTGCCTCCCGGGTTCAAGCGATTCTCTTGCCTCAGCCTCCCGAGTAGCTGGGATTACAGGCACCCACCACCATGCCTAGCTAATTTTTTGTATTTTTAGTAGAGATGGGGTTTCGCCAAGTTGGCCAGGGCTGGTCTTGAACTCCTGACCTCGGGTGATTTGCCTGCCTGAGCCTCCCATAGTGCTGGGATTACAGGCATGAGCCACCATGCCCAGCTGACAGTTTCTTTTTTTTTTTGAGACAGAGTCTCGCTCTGTCTCCTAGGCTGGAGTGCAGTGGTGCGATCTCGGCTCACTGCAAGCTCCGCTTCCCAGGTTCACCCTATTCTCCTGCCTCAGCCTCCTGAGTAGCTGGGACTACAGGCACGCGCCACCACGCCCAGTTAATTTTTTTGTATTTTTAGTACAGACGGGGTTTCACCGTGTTAGCCAGGATGGTCTCCATCTTCTGACCTCGTGATCTGCCCGCCTCCGCCTCCCAAAGTGCTGGGATTACAGCACCGGGCCCTGCCAGTTTCTTTCTTTCTTTTTTTGTTTTTTTTTTTGAGACAGAGTCTCGTTCTGTTGCCCAGGCTGGAGTGCAGTGGTACAGTCTTGGTTCACTGCAACCTCCGTCTCCCGGGTTCTCCTGCCTCAGCCTCGTGAGTAGCTGGGACTGCAGGTGCGTACCACCATGCCTGGCTAATTTTTGTATTTTTAGTAGAGACGGGGTTTCACCATGTTGGTCAGGCTGGTCTCGAACTCCTGACCTTGTGTTCTGCCCGCCTCGGCCTCCCAAAGTGCTGGGATTACAGGCTTGAGCCACCACGCCCGGCTGACAGTTTCTTATAAAGCTAAATATGCATCTATTGCATGACCCAGCAATTCCACAGCTAGATTTTTACCTAAGAGAGATGACAACGTGTCCACACAAATGTTCACAGCAGCTTTATCCATAACAGCCAAAAAATGGAAACACTCCAATATCCATCACCGATACAAGAGACTACTTACTATTCAGCAACAAAAAAGAACGATCTATGGACACATAAGTGACATAGATGGATCTCAAAGTAATTTTTCTGGGTGAAAGAAGCCAGAAGCAACAGAGTACACATCACATGTTTCTGTTTATCTAAAGTTTTAGGAAATGCAAACCAATCCATAGCAACAGAAACAGATCGGTGTTTCTCTGAGGGGCAAAGGATGGAGGGAGGATGAATATACATCTTTCAAAGCTCATTGAGTTACGTACTTTATTTTTTATTTTTCTTTTTTTCAGAATCACTTGGATTTGGAGAGCTGCGCACTTTAAATGAATGCAGTTATGTACATAAGTCATACCTCAATAAAGTTGTTAAAAATATGTTCAGGCCAGGCGCAGTGGCTCACGCCTGTAATCTCAGCACTTAGGGAGGCCGAGCCAGGTGGATCATCTGAGGTCAGGAGTTCCAGACCAGCCTGACAAACATAATGAAGCCCCATCTCTACTAAAAATACAGAAACAAATTAGCCAGGCATGGTGGTGCATGCCTGTAATCCCAGCTACTTGGGAGGCTGAGGCAGGAGAATCACTTGAACCCAGGAGGCGGAGGTTGCAGTGGGTCGAGATCGCACCATTGCACTCCAGCCTGGGCAACAAGAGCAAAATTCTGTCTCAAAAAAAAAAGTATATATACACATGTATATATATATATATACACACATATACTTGGAATATATATATTTGGACTATATATATATATTTGGAATTTTATATATGTGGAATATATATATGTTCAGTTTGTAGCCTTATGGGATCTCAAAGTAATATATGATGGCCAAGGGAACCCCTACTGTATGACAGAATATCTTATTTCCTTTCACTGTTTTTGCTTAGTTGGGTTAGAAAAAAAATTTTGGTGACCTCCAAGTACCAGCCCTCATTTGTGTAAGACCTAACTGCCCAACTAGCTACTTACATAGTGTTGCAATCCTCTTATTTTTCTTTATTTCTGTCTGAAGTCTCTCCACTGCTTTTAGATCCTTCTAGTTTCTTCTGAAATGTTGAGATGGCAATTTAAAACCATGCTTTTTTTCTACTTGATGTGGCAGTCCAAATTCCAAATCCAATCTAATTATAGACATTCTGTAAGGACAACCTGATCTCCCTCTGGCCGGAATGCATTGATCAAAAGTGAGGTTTCATGATTTTATTGCTTTTCTTAATTGCCTGGGATCAAGGGTCAGGAAGGAGAGATAGGCACTTAGGGAGTGGAGGCAGCTGACATCATCCACCAGAATGACGACAGCCCATAAATGGCTGGTTCTTATTTTCCAAGTACAAGGTTGAGGGTTGGCAAAATCTCTACTAAACAAAGAAGAAGAAACTCTTTGCCTAAGCTTCCAATCTGCATAGGAACTTGGTCCTAAAGGGACTGTAAATGTAAATAATCTTTTCCCCCCACCTCTCCTCCCCACCCCCACCCCCAACCATTTCTTTTTCTTTTTTTTTCTTAAGTGGGAAAACCTAAATTATTGGGATAGGAATAGTAGTTGAGCCAACTCTGGAGAGGAGCCTTTTGTCATATAGGGTGGTTTTCTGGTACGTAAGAGCCGGAGCGGGGAAGCAGTCCTGCAGTCCTAGGGCTGGAATCTTGATGATTCCACATCAACTAGGTGTGCAGCCTCCACTCTGGACTCCAGTCTCCTCATCTGTACAATCTCTTTTTTTTTTTTGAGACAGAGTCTTGCTCTGTTGCCCAGGCTGGAATACAGTGGTGCGATCTCGGCTCACTGCAACCTCCGCCTCCCGGGTTCAAACGATTCTCCTGCCTCAGCCTCCTAAATAGCTGGGATTACAGGCACGCGCCACCACGCCCGGCTAAGTTTTGTATTTTTAGTAGAGACGAGGTTTCACCATCTTGGTCAGGCTGGTCTCGAACTCCTGACCTTGTAATCCAGCCCCCTCGGCCTCCCAAAGTACTGGGAATACAGGCATGAGCCACTGCGCCCAGCCCCTCATCTGTACAATTTCTAAGATAACTCCAAACTTTAAAATCCTCTTATTCTTTGAATATCCAGAAGTGTTCGACTTTCCACCGCTGAGAAAAGACAGCCTGGATGTCTGTACTTGGTGGGTGGGTGAGTGTAATCACTGGGTTGGGTAGGATGGGAGTTCTTTGAAGCTGTACATGGGGGTCAGAGGTGGAAGAAATGAAACGATCTGTAGAATTTGAAGCACTCGCTGTGCCCATAGCCCCCTTGTAAAGAAGAGCCTGCCACAGATCGCTGCTTCTCAATAAGGTTTGATGCTTTTCCTTACATTATCCTGCAAACCTAGTCACAGGTGATTAGACTGGGGCACTGGGGCCTTGGCCTGATGCACGCCTTGAAGCTTGAACCTGAAGAAGGACAGTGACTTGGATGAGAACGGGTTCTTTGGGGGCAGTTTTTGTCTCTGGAACAACATAGAATCAGGAACTTTTGTGGAAGTATCTGCCCAGGCAGGTCATGTCTCAGATGATTTCGGTTTGGAGCACGGAGTCTGTATCTGGCCGTGGCAGTCAGAAGAAGCAGACGCTGGGGCCGTTGTCAGGGAAACAGCATAAGGCTGAAGAGTCTAGAAGCAGCAGAACCACTAGACAGCCAGAAAGGCTCGCTCTTGAGAGCCACCAAGAGCTAGAACCCAAACAACGTTCCAGTTCTGGAGGACCTGGCCCCGGGAGCATACTACCCCTTGTTATATGTGCTCCTTACACAGGCAACCTGGGAAAGAGTCTAGTTCCTGCCCCTGGAGACCAGCTGCAGCACAGATGTTGTGTGTAAGCCTTGTCTGGCTCTTTAAAGTTGTGTTATTTGGGGATTATTGGGCAGTGTTAATTTGCTCTGTTGTATCAGAGATGAGGCTGGGCTCCGAGCAGTTTCAGTGACTTACTTGAGACCAAGAGCAGCACAGCTGACGGAGGATTTTCCACTTCAAATTTGAGAAGTTGAAAATACCTGTAGGGCATTTCTCCTGGGATCACCACTGCATCCTTCTCCTCCTGCTCTTTTGTGACCTAGAACTTTGTGCCTTTGATCACTGTTACTCTGGGTCTTACACATGGAAAAAGACAACAGAGGCAGTTACTGTGTATCTGCAGGCCACGGGCAGTGAGGCAGTTAGCATGGAGTTGTCCTGTGTTTGTGTGAGTTTCTCTGGGGGATCCTGGTAAGAAGGCAGAGGGTTTCCCTGGCAGACCTGTGTCTGTTCTGTGCCTAGGGCTGCCAGATGAAATACAGGATGCTCAGGGATTGCACCAGACATTCTTGGACTAAAAATAATTTGTTTATCTTAAATGCAAACTTAATTGGGCATCCTATATTTTTTGTCTGCTAAGTCTGGCAATTCTGTCAGTGCCACAGTGTGTTATAGAAGCTGAAGACCACAGGAGACAGGGTCATCAGGGCCAGAGGAGCAGAGGGGATCCGTCTCCAGAAGCAGCCTTCAGCCCCCATCGTAGTTCCTAAGCAGCCCAGGGTCTTGAGTCTGCAAACAGAAGACGGTATCGGCACAGCCATGACAGCAGTACGTCTGCAAAGGGCAGGATGTGATCACAATGCGTTGGCATTTGTGGAACAAGACTCTGAGTCTGCAGAATTTAAACCGTTTTTAATCTTTCACAAAAGTGGAAATGTAGTCATAGCTTAGAATGTGATGAAAAAAAACCCCAAAAACTGAGTACTCTACCTGAAGTGAAAAACCTTCTGAACGTGGCTGTGTGTGCTGTTTGTCCTATAGTGGCAGTCACGGTGGCCCAAATTCACAGAATTGTGTGTGTCACTCCTAGTTTGCAGATAGCACCAGCTAAAAACACAGTTAGGAGATATGGCCTATAATTGCCATTTGTTCTGGCTCTTAGATCATCTTATTTTTATTCCGATCTTGTTCCAGAGATGAGATTGCTGGCTGCACCCAGCCGACACTCAATGATTCACTGTGAAAAAAGATGGCGTTTTCGCTTGCCCTGTTCCTAGGCTTAGCTTCCATTGCCTCTGCTTGTCAGCAACAGCTGTTGGCCCCTCTGCCCTTGCGGGACCAGCTCCTCTGGATGAGCGCTTTCGTCTTTGTCCGACCCTCTTTCAGGACAGCAACTCCCACTTGGTGTTAAACATCATTGCTCATAAATAGAAGTGCATTTGGATTAGCTGTGGCCAAGGTCCATCTGGTCTCTTTCCTTCTGCATAGAGTGATGAATTGGCTAAAGGACAAGAAGGGAAGGGTAGAGCAGCTGGTGAGGCGGTCACCACAGAACCAAGCCTTGTCTGTGTGCGATGCAGGTTTCCTTGTGCAGAATGAGCTTGAGTGACCCGGGAGGCACCCTCCCCTACAGCCCCTTGGCCATTGTGGGAAGGAAAAGCAGATTCTAATACAGGACACAGCAAACATCATGTTTGTCTTCATGTCTGCAAAGCATGCTGGATTTGTCCAAGGAAAAAGCAAGTAAAAATAGAGAAAAAGGAAATGAGCACTCATTTTAGAAATAATGCTTTTTTTTTTTTTTTTTTGAGACGGGGTTGCCCAGGTCTGAGTGCAGTAGCGTGACCACAGCTCACTGCTGTCTCCATCTCCCACTGCACCCAGTGAGACAATGGCTTTTTTTTTTTTTTGAGACAGTCTCACTCTGTTGCCCAGGCTGGAGTGCAGTGGTGTGATCTTGGCTCACTGAAACCTCTGCCTCCTGGGTTCAAGTGATTCTCCTGCCTCAGCCTCCCGAGTAGCTGGGATTACAGGCATGTGCCACCACACCCAGCTAATATTTGTATTTTTAGTAAAGACAGGGTTTCACCATGTTGGCCAGGCTGCTGTCTCAAACTCCTGACCTCAAGTGATCTGCCCGCCTGGACTTCCCAAAGTGCTGGGATTACAGGTGTGAGCCACCGTGCCCAGCCGAGATAATGTATATTGATGAGTATGTACACATGTGTGTATTTTTTCTTTTAGCTAGTGACGAGTCTGGCAGGCCATAAACACTTAAGGGATCAATAATTTAATAATAAACACAAATGGAATTGTTGCAGGCATAAAAGAACAAAAATCTGCAAATGGAGGCCTGGGAGAGGGCAGGCTCTGGGGGAGATGGGAGCCAGCTGTCAGTAAAAGCCTTCACCAACAGGCTTTTGCTCTGTGGCTGCAGTTCCCTTTCCCAGCAGCCCCGAGGTGGGTCTCCAGGGAGCCCTCCACAGCAGCCCTTCTGTGACCTCATGCGCTGATGGTTGTCTCAGCTACAGGAGTGGAAGGCGCAGCCAAGCAGCCGCTGGTATTTCTGTGTTGCATATGGGCTGGGGTCCCTCCTGTCCTTCTCTCCTACACGATCCCAGATCTGATTTCTAATGGTGTTGTATTTCCTCCCTAAATCATTTTTCAATAGTATTTTTGTTCTTCTGTGGGATACAGAAGAACTTTTTTTTCCTATTGCAATAAGGACAAGTAAACAAGTCAGAAGCCTCAGAAGACCTCAAGAGAGAAATCACAGCCTTCAATTCCTGGTCCCTTTCTGAAACCTCAGCTCTTGATTCACTTAATTTCAAGGAGAATTGTTTTATGACTACGCCAAGCTGACCCAAAGACCCCTGGGAAGCACGTGGCCCATCAGAGGGAAGGGCTAGGCCCTGGGGCTGGAAAGGATGCAGAGCCTGTTTTCAACAATTACGTCTACATTTTCCAAGAGATTAAACCGATTGGAAGCCAAGCATTGGAGAAGAGATCTTTTGTCTTCCTTGGCAACATTTCTGAAATCTACAGATAGGGATGAGGAAGTGAGGCACATTTTTCATCTGTTCCAACAAACTGCCAATGGAATGGCTGACATGCCATTTTAGTGTATGTCATCTCTCCCGTGTTCCGTCATCACTGAGGGTCAGCTGGGCCCTGCCCTTGAATACAGCACAGGGCTGGTGTCATGGAGCCGGCCTTCCTTACACTAATGAACCGCAGGAGCCTCCCCTTGTCCCTTGCCTGGGGGGAACTAATGGCATTGCAGGGCAAAGGCTCAGCAGGGACCCTGTAGATAGAGGATAGATCGGCACCCAGGCGTCTTACAGGGTGGACCCCATGCTGGCAGGGTGGGAAGCCAGAGAAAAGAGGCTTGGAAGAAGCAAAGGGAACTCTCAAGAGGGTGCAGAGATGAACGTGGCTTGCACCTGGAGAATTCCCAGCCAATGTGAGCTTGACGCCCCTCTCCTTTCCACCAATCAGATGGCACTACCACCTCCTCCTAATTCCTCTACCAATGAAAACTAGGTTCCTTTACCTTATCCACCAATCAGGGCTTTGGACAAAGAATAATCTTATCAAACCCCACATGGATTCACACGCATCTGGTAGCTTGGTTGTTGGTAAGTCTCTGCATGGCAAGCTGGGTCTCCAAGTCTTTATTGTTATGCTTCTATCGTTTGGAGGCAGAAGGGGAGATGGGAGAGCTAAAAGCCCAGGTCCCTTTCTTCCCTGAAAACCCTGAAAAAAGTTTCTGCCTATGTGAAAAAGAAGGGGTTTAGTGGACAGTCATCATAAGCCAACAGTGATATGTGGGCGTCATGCTAATGCCGTGGCTTAGGCTGCACTGATACACATTTATCAAACCAATACATTGCCAACGGAATGGCTGACACGCCGCTTTAATGTATGTCATCTCTGTGTTCGGTGAGCGCAGTGATGTCCTTCAAGGAAGGACTTGTTGCCTTGGCTGCTGCGCTGCCATGAGCGGGGCTCTGACTATGGTGAGATTAGCTGGTGACCTCGCACCCGTCATACCAGTTGGGCTGTAATGACTCCTAGAGACAGTCGCTCAAGATAGCTCTGTGTGTTTGTTTCATAAATAAGCTCCATGGCAAATTCGCATTGTTTTTCCCCAAATAAGCAATTCCGAAGGCTGGGCCTTCACTGAGAGCTTGCATCTCTGCATAAACTGCCTCTGGGCTTTGGGACCTGCTTTAGCTTCCAGGAGCTGCTCTTCAAGACCACATTCCTCCCCAGAGCAGCCCTGTCAACATCCAGGGACAGATGAAAGCCCGAGTATGAAGACCTGACCATCTCCCCCGAAATCAGGAAACTCTGAAGAGCATTCTAGCTCCAAAGATTCCTGTGGGTTGGCTGGGGCTGTCCTTGGACCTGTAGTACAGCCCAGGTCCTCCCACTGCCCACACCCGCTCTTGCCTCCTCTCTTACACAGGTGTTGGTCTGAGGGCACTTGTACAGGCTAAACTCCATCTGAGTCCGCTTCCCAGGAAAACCAGCCTGCAGGGAAACCATGCCAGTTCTCTGTGCTACTTGCATCTCCCTTGCAGAGCTGCCTTCAGAATCTGGACAAAGATTTTGGTCAATTTATAAAGTTTATTTTATTTATTTATTTATTTTTTGAAATGGAATCTCACTCTGTCGCCCAGGCTGGAGTACAGTGACGCGATCTTGGCTCTCTGCAGCCTGCGCCTCCAGAGTTCAGGTGATTCTCGTGCCTCAGCTTCCCCAGTAGCTGGCACTACAGGCACGTGCCACCACACCCAGCTAATTTTTCTTCTTTTTGTATTTTTAGTAGGGATGGGGTTTCACCATGTTGGCCAGGCTGGTCTCTAACTCCTGACCTCAAGTGACCTGCCCGCTTTGGCCTCCCAAAGTGCTGGGATTACAGGCGTGAGCCACCACGCCCAGCCTAATTTATAAAGTTTCTGTTTGTCACAGCTGGCTGAAATGTGATAGACATCTTCTGAAGGTGAGGTCATCTTCTAAGGAAGATGTTCAAAGGAAAACTGACTATTGGAAAGATAAGGGATGGGTGAGGGGTGAAATCAGGAATCTTGCGGGCAGATGGACGAGATGCCCTCTGTCAGACCTCTGAGGCCAAGCTAAGCCGTCATATCCCCTGTGACCCTCACGTATACATCCAGATGGCCTGAAGCAACTGAAGATCCACAGAATAAGTGAAAATAGCCACTTATTAGTTCCTGCCTCAACTGATGACATTCCACCATTGTGACTTGTTCCTGCCCCACCCTAACTGATCAATTGACTTTGTGACATTCCTTCTCCTGGACAATGAATCTCAGGAGCTCCCCACCAGCACCTTGTGACCCCCGCCCCTGCCCGCAAGAGAACACCCCCTTTCACTGTAATTTTCCACGACCTGCCCGAATCCTATAAAACTGCCTCACCCCGATCTCCCTTTGCTGACTCCTTTTACGGACTCAGTCTGCCTGCATCCAGGTGATTAAAAGCTTTATTGCTCACACGAAGCCTGTTTGGTGGTCTCTTCTCAAGGACGCGCATGACACCCTCCAGGGTCTAATCATACATCAAGATCTTAATATCCCAAGATTAACTGTACCCCAGATATCTAGTACCCTTCAGCATACATCCATCCCAGTGTTCTAAAATATCATGTTTATAATTTAACTACATAAGACAGGGTTGGCCAAGGTTTTTTTGTTTGTTTGTTTTTTGGTTTTTGTTTTCTTTTTCTTTTTTTTTTTTTTTTTTTTTTGAGATAGGGCCTCACTCTGTCACCCAGGCTGGAGTGTGGTGGTGCCATCATAGCTCACTACAGCCTCAACCTCCTGGGCTCCAGCAATCCTCCCGCCTCAGCCTCCTGAGTAGCTGTTATTACAGGCATGCATCACCATGCCTGGTTAATTTTTATATTTTTTGCAGAGACAGGGTTTCACCATGTTGCCCAGGCTAGTCTCAAACTCCTGGGCTCAAGTGATCCACCCACCTCAGCCTCCCAAAATAAATAAAAAAAAAAAAAAAGAAGAAAAAGAAAAGGAACAATCATACAGTTATAGAATTGTAACTGCTAAAGAAGCAAGCTAGTAGCCTGTTAAAATAATACTGCCTTCCTAAATCTAGCAGCTATGAATATATCCATTCTATTATATCCACTCTACATTAAGTAATCTAGGTAAGCTTAACATTGGCCAGAAGTAGAGCACACACGTGTGTATATTCACACATAATCTATGTTCACATACCCAAGAGACAAGGAGAGTTACTAGAATTAATAGGATAACTGTATTTTCTGGGAATAGTATTTAATTTAAGTATCCCCAGAAAATACAGTTTTTTTTTAAAAGACTGCTATGATGGCTTTGCCTCTTTTATTTACTTGATATTCATTTATTCATCCATTCAAACAATATTCTTTTTTGTTTTTTTTTTTTTTTCCTTTTTTTTGAGACAGAGTCTCGCCCTGTTGCCCAGGCTGGAGTGCAGCGGCACAATCTGGGCTCACTGCAAGCTCCGCCTCCCGGATTCATGCCATTCTTCTGCCTCAGCCTCCCAAGTAGCTGGGACTACAGGCGCCTGCCACCACGCCTGGCTAATTTTTTGTATTTTTAGTGGAAATGGGGTTTCACCGTGTTAGCCAGGATGGTCTCGATCTCCTGACCTCGTGATCCGCCCATCTCGGCCTCCCAAAGTGCTGGGATTACAGGCATGAGCCACCGCGCCCTGCCGAAACAATATTCATTGGTTTCCAGTTACATAAGAAGTGTTAAGTGTTGCAGTCATTGATTTGGGAAGAATGTGTCCTTGTCCAAGTCACAACCCCACCTCCTAAAGAGGAAGCATTTTGGTAAGACATGTAAGCTGTGCTGCAGTAATGCTGATGCCACAAAGCATGGGCGCCATCATCCCAAGGAGTAAGCTCATGCCCAGCTCCATCTTGGGCCAGCTATGTGACCTTGGACAAGTCACTCAACCTCTCTAAGCTCCATTTCCTCATGTGTTGTCAGGCCTCTGAGCCCAAGCTAAGCCATCGTATCCCCTGTGACCTGCATGTACACATCCAGATGGCCTGAAGCAACTGAAGATCCACAAAAGCAGTGAAAATAGCCTTAACTGACGACATCCCACCATTGTGATTTGTTCCTGCCCCACCCTAACTAATACGATATATTCTCCCCCGCCCTTGACAATGTATTTTGTACGCCCATCCCAAACCTATACGAACTAATGATAATCCCACCATCCTTTGCTGACTCCTTTTTCAGACTCAGCCCACCTGCACCCCGGTGAAATAAACAGCCTTGTTGCTCACACAAAGCCTGTTTGCTAGTATGAGATGTGGACGATAGTCACGACATTTACCTTATTTGGTTGGCATCACCATGTGGTCGCTTGTGGAAGCTTTTGCCCCTATCTTCATAACTGTTACGGGCATTCCCCAAAGCCACCCTGAATAAGTATGCAATCTAAGTCCAAGCACCATGTTTTCTTGGCACTTGCATCTCCCCCGTCCAATTAGACTGCAGCCCTTAAGCCCCTTGTGTATAGAACTCTGACTGCTGACTTCTCAGAGCAGTGGCTGAGGCTCTGCACATGTGTGAGCTCCAGGCGCCACACCGCCCCCGATGGACAGTCCCCTGAAGGAAATGAACCCTCAGTGGTCGGAAGCACCATTGCCCCTCTGAGTCCCTGACTCCGGCTCAGGGGACATTTCCCGCCAGTGTGATGGCGACTGGGTGTTTGCAGCCTGACCTGTCTACTCGTGGGAGTAGAAGACCCCTCAGAAGCAGAGCGAGCGGCCGAGCGTGGTGGCTCACGCCTGTAATTCCAGCACTTTGGGAGGCCAAGGCAGGCAGATCCCGAGGTCAGGAGTTCAAGACCAGCCTGGTCAATATGGTGAAACCCCGTCTTTACTAAAAATACAAAAATTAGCTGAGCATGGTGGCGGGCACCTGTAATCCCATCTACTCAGGAAGCTGAGCCAGAAGAATCGTTTGAACCCAGGAGACAGAGGCTACAGTGAGCCGAGATCACGCCACTGCACCCCAGCCTGGGAGACAGAGTGGGACTCCATCTCAAAAAAAAAAAAAAAAAAAAAGTAGAGTGAGCCCCGTTGAGGGCTGTGTGGTGAGGGAACAACTTTGGCCTGCTACAAAAAAGCAGGACAGAGACTGCAGAATCAAACTTTTAACTTAAAACTTCAGATTTAAACAACTTTGGAGGAATACATAAGCAAAACATCTCCCTCCTTTACCACAGAAATGTTTTACATATCCCTGTGGCCTCAATTAGTGTTTTTTCTTTTTTTACATTTGAGATATAATTCATATACCATAAAATTCAAAAACTTAGTGAACAATTCTGTGGTTTTTAGTATATTCATGTAACCTGTGTATAAAGTTTCTTCCCCATAGTTATAGTATGTACACTTTTTTTTTTTTTGGCTATTTTCTTCACTTTGCCTAATTTCATCCTCATATTCCTTTTTTCTTTTTTTAAGAGAGGGTCTCACTCTGTTGCCCAGGCTGAAGAGCAGTGGTGAGATCACAGCTCACTGCTGCCTCAGTCTCCTGGGCTGAGGCAATCCCCCCACCTCAGCCTCTTGAGTAGCTGGGACTATAGGCGCATGCCACTATGCCTGGCTCATTTTTGTAGTTTTTGTAAAGACAGGTTTCTCCATGTTTCCCAGGCTGGTCTCAAACTCCTGGGCTCAAGCCATTCGCCCGCCTTAGCCTCCCAAAGCGCTGGGATGACAGATGTGAGCCACTGAGCCTGGCTGTAACCTTTCTTTATTCATTAGACATTTGGGTTTTCTACCTTTCTCTCTATAATAAATGAATACTACTGTAAATATTATTGTACAGATAGACCTTTATTTTGAACTATTATTATTATTATGATTTTAGACACAGAGTCTTGTTCTGTTGCCCAGGTTGGAGGGCAGTGGTGTGATCATAGCTCACTGCAGCCTAAAACTCTTGGACTCAGGTGATTCTCCCACCTCAGCCTACCAAGTAGCTGGGACCATAGCTGCACGCCCCCACGTCTGGCTAATTTTTTAAAATTTTTGTAGAGACAGGGTCTCCCTATGTTGTTGCTCAGGCTGATCTCAAACTCCTGGGCTCAAGCGACCCTTCCACCTCCGCCTCTCCAATTGCTGGGATTACAGGCGTGAGCCACTGCACCTGACCTTGAACTTTTTACTTAGAAATACATTCAGAGGTTTTTGGATTACTGAATAAGGGGTAAGATTGTTTTAAGGCTCTTGTTTTATTATTTTCCTTCAAAAAGACGGAACCCCTGTAATAAACTGGTGACACCAGTGATGTTTACACGTCTGTATCCAATACTTGACCAGCACTGGGTTCATTATCACCTCCATTTATGCCGGTAGGTGTAAAATGGTACATGATATAATTTTAAATTTAATTTCTTTAATAACTGGAGAGGAAGCAAGCCTTCCTACCCTGTGATTTTAAGCATCTAAAAGGAAGCTTCATGTGGTAGACTTGCTCTCATCATATCACACTGCTAAACAAGGATCTACAGCGCCTAATTCTGTTAGATTCAAATCTAAACATAACACATAGTTGATGCTAAATGTCTATTTCATTGCTTTATGGCTTCTAAAATCTGAATATTTCCCCAACGGAGAGTAATCTGAGGTATTATGCATCATATATATATATATACATTTTTTTTGCAACAATGTCTTGCTCTGTTGCCCAGGCCCTGGCGTGCAGTGGCACTACCATAGCTCACTGCAGCCTCCATCTCCTGGGCTGAAGCTGTCCTCTTGCCTCAGCCTCTCAAGTAGCTGGGACTACAGGCATGTACCACCAGGACTGGCAATTTTCTTAATTTTTATTTTTCATAGAGACATCTCACTATGTTGCCCAGGCTGGTCTCTAACTCCTGGGTGCAAGTGATTCTCCTGCATGGCCTCCCAAAGTGCTGGGATTACAGGCGTGAGCTGCCACGCCCAGACCAGTTTTTCCATCTTGGACTCTCAGCTCCAAATTCCCCCTTTTGGACTACTCTGTGAAAATGGATCTGGACCTTTAAATATTTTTTTCCCGGGCTAGCTAGCACTGAAATCTTGCCAGTAGAGGGTGATAGAGAGACACGGGAGAAGGAGAAGAGGTTGACTTGCCTCTGGGTTCCAGGGTGCTCACTGGGTGGTTCCCCCAGTGCCCCGCTCCTACAGTGACTGCAGCCAGCAGCACCCAGGAGACGGAACCTCCCCGCCCAGCCCGGCGCCCGCCAGCCCTGGTGCCGTTTTTATAGCAGCATGCCTCTAGCAATCAAGACACCTGGCACCTCGGAGGGCCGACTTCCAGAAGGATTTGCCACAGGGCACCACAACAACTTCTCTGCCATTCAGAGTCACAGCTGCACAGGTCTGGATCTCCGCCTGGGGCCGGCGTGGGGGCTCTCTCAGTCCTGGGGCTGGTTCACTGGAGTTTTCTTTCTTTGTTACTAGCCAGCCCCTCATGGCTGTAATCCCTTGCTCTAGTAAATAATTCTTTATATTGAATTTTCTCTGTTCAAATTACTACGTGATTTCTCTCTCCGGACTGGACTCAGACTGATACAAGTATGGACCCCCTAGAAGGAACAACAAATGGAGCTGCCGTCTATATACACACGTGAGATGGAATTCGTGTTTTAGATCCTTTCCAACACCTGGCTGTCTCAGAGGGCGGAGGACACGGGTCCCACCTCACACGTGGCAGCCGGCCCTGGCGCAGGCACCTGTTCCCAGCTGAGGCAATCAGAACCCACCTGGGATTTTTTTTCATCCTCGAAGCCAACTTCTCTCCCTTAAACTAAAGCAGAAAGAGTGTGAGGATGTGACTTCAGAACTGCCTGCTCCATCCCTTGCCCAGGGGGAGGCTTAGAGTCTGATGGGGCTGGGCACCGTGGCTCATGCCTATAATCCTAGCACTTTGGGAGGCTGAGGCGGGCAGATTGCTTGAGCCCAGGTATTTGAGACCACCCTGGGCAACATGGTGAAGTCCTGTCTCTACAAAATATATGAAAAATTAGCCAAGCGTGGTAGTGCGTGCCTGTAGTCCCAGCTTCTCAGGAGGTTGAGGTGGACGGATGGCTTGAGCCCGAGAGGCGGAGGTTGCAGTGAGCATGCCGTGGCACTCCAGCCTGGGCGACAGAGCAAGAGTGTGATGGACTCGAAGATGAGAGATGGCAAAACAGAGAGAGACTCCTAATGTCATCTCCCACCCTTTTAATGAGACAGGATCTGCCTCTGTCACCCAAGCTGGAGTGCAGTGGCACAATCACAGCTCACTGCAGCCTCAACCTCCTGGGTCAAGTGATCCTCCTGCCTCAGCCTCCCAAGTAGCTGGGACTACAGGCATGTGCCACCATGCCTAGCTAATTTTTTAAATTTTTTTAGAGATGGGGGTCTCACTGTCACTCAGACTGGAGTGCAGTGGTGTGATCATAGTTTACTGCAACCTCAACTTCCTGGACTCAAGTGATCCTCCCACCTCAGCCTCCTGAGTAGCTGGGACTATAGGCATGTACCACCGCACCTGGCTTATTTTTTAATTTTTGGTGGAGAAGGAGTCTCCCTTTGTTACCCAGGCTGGTCTCCAACTCCTGGGCTCAAGTGATCCTCCTGCCTCAGCCTCCCAAAGTGCTGGAATTACAGGCATGAGCCACCACGCCCAGCCCAAGGCCGTCTTTGTGTTTCCAAATATTTTCAGACCAGTTTCGGTCTTTCCCCACCTATATTGTGGGGGAAAAAAAAGTAAAATGAAAAAATAAATTTTAAAATTAGAATTAAATGAAAAAACTAAAAAGTAAAAAAAGGGTATTCAATATCACATTGATAATTTACTCAATAATGAATCTTTTTATTTTTTCTTACCTAACCTAGGTCGATTTAGGTCTCTGTCTCTGGCAACTGAAAAGAGACCCAACAAAACATCTTACAGAGCACCAGGGCCAATTCTTGATGCGTCGTTAGATTCTGTGTAGCCAGAAAGCAGAAACAGAAACATATCCAAGCCAGGCGGAGGAAAAACTTTGAGGCCTGTTTATCCAGGTTCAAGACAATTTCTATTTAAAAAAAAAAAAAAGAAAAAAAGAGAGAAAAAAAAAGCTCATAACAGAATAAGTTCAGCTTCTCCTGAGTGTCAGAGCTAAGATCTAACGCCTCTGCTGGTTTCCATGACAACCACCAGCAGCTACAATCATGCCGAACCAAGAACCAGAGGATTCAGTAACTTTACCTTGATTCTGTGGCCAGATTATTGCCAATTTTAAAAGGAAATGCATAGTGAGCCCCTGTCTCTGTTGTGTCTTCAGTTGTCCCTTGAAATCTGGATATCTTGACAAGAGGCCAGGGCCTATCCTATCTCATCTCCCCAAGCTAGTGTCCTTCCCAGATGAATTTCTTCTGGCGCTGGTGAGATTACTTGGTGACCTAGTTCCGACTACACAAGTTATGCTGTCGTGATTGCTGGGGGTAATTGCTCAAAATAGCTCTCTGATTTGTTTCATAAACAGGCTCTGTGGCAGGCTCATGTCGTTTTTTCCCCAAAGAAGAGATTCCAGAGACGAGGCCTTCACTGAGAGCTTGCTCCTCTACCTCCTGTGGGTTTCAGGGCTGGGACGGGGGACACAGAGAATCTGTCTCTCGCGAATGCCAAGTTGAGGTCCTAGCCTGGCTAGGAACTCTTGCATTCCCCTTGCCTCGCTGTAGCCTCCCCTGGGAACAGACCTTCCAGGAGGGTCGCACCGAGTGATGAGACTGTTGCATGAGGCTCTGCAGTGCTTGGACACAGAACTGCACTGCGGCCTTCCAGATGCTCAGCTGGAAAACCCCTGAGAACCTGAGGCTTTTCTACAGCACATTAGAGCTTATGACTGGAGAGTGTCTACCGCCTGAGGGCAGGGATGAGATTTTACCTATCCTATTCACCTGCTTAGGTGCCCACTTCATCCTAGACTCCCTTCTTTTCCCTCCCTCCCTTCCTCCCTCCCTCCCTCCCTCCCTTCCTCCCTCCCTCCCTTCCTTCCTCCTTCCCTCCCTCCCTCCCTTCCTTCCTCCCTCCCTCCCTCCCTCCCTCCCTTCCTCCCTCCCTCCCTCCCTTACTCCCTCCCTCCCTCCCTCCCTCCCTTACTCCCTCCCTCCCTCCCTCCCTTCCTCCCTCCTTCCCTCCCTCCCTCCCTCCCTTCCTTCCTTCTCTTTCTTGCTTGCTTGTTTGCTTGCTTGCTTGCTTCAGGGTCTCACTCTGTCACTCAGGATGGAGTACAATGGTGCAAACACAGCTCACTGCAACCTCGGCCTCCTGGGCTCAGGTGATCCTCCTACCTCAGCCTCCCAAGTAGCTGGGATTACAGGTGTGTGCCACCAACACTTGGCTAATTTTTTCTATATTTTGTAGAGATGAGGTCTCACTATGTTGCCCAGCTGGTTTCAGACTCCTGGGCTCAAACAATCCTTCCTCCTTGGCCTTCCAAAGTGTTAGATTACAGGTGTGAGCCACCTTGCCCAGCCTTTGATACACTTCTTGATTGAAGGAAGAGAGCCAACTTTTATTGAGTACCTATTATGTGCCTGGTGCTTGCATGCATGTCATTACTTTGGAGGCAGTATTGCAGAGTGCTCACAGGCAAGAACTCCAGTATCAGAAAGACCTGGACTTAAATCTCAGTTCTCCCACTTACAGTACTAGCTGTGGAAACTTCACTTGTTACTTAACTTTCCTGAGCCTCAGTTTTCTCATCTGTAAAGTGGGAATAATAATAAATCACCTCGTCAGGTTGTTATGAAGATTAAATGAGATCATGTGTATAAAGCACACAGTAAACATTCAATAAAGTTAGCTATTATTATTCCAGTTATTAGCAGCCACAAGATATAGGACATTGTTATACAGGAAGTTTAAATCTTGAAAAGGAAAAGTTCTAGAATGTATAAGCCTGAATATAGCATCTCCTCAAATACTGTTTGGATCAGTGAAAATGCTATTGCCCATGGTGACTCACACCTGTAATCCCAGCACTTTGGGAGGCCGAGGTGAAAGGATCACTTGAGGCCAGGAATTGGAGACAAGTCTGGGCAATATAGCAAGACCCTGCCCCTACCAAAAATTAAAAAATTAGCCAGGTGCCATGGTGCACACCCGTAGTCCTAGCTACTTGGGAGGTTGAGGTGGAAGTATCACTTGAGCCTGGGAGGTCAAGGCTTCAGTGAGCTGTGATCATACCACTGCACTCCAGCGTGAGTGACAGAGCAAGACCCTGTCTCTAAGAGAAAACTAGAAAGTGCCATAGTCTGAGTTGTTGTGGGAAGTCCGGGACTCCGAACGGAGGGACCGGCTGGAGCCGCAGCAGAGGAACATGAATTGTGAAGATTTCATGGACATTTATCAGTTCCCAAATAATACTTTTATAATTTCTTATGCCTGCCTTTACTTTAATCTCTTAATCCTATTATCTTTGTAAGCTGAGGATGTACATCACCACAGGACCACTGTGATAACTGTGTTAACTGTACAAATTGATTGTAAAACATGTGTTTGAACAAATATGAAATCAGTGCACCTTGAAAAAGAACAGAATAACAGTGATTTTTAGGGAACAAGGGAAGACAATCATAAGGTCTGACTGCCTGCAGTGTCGGGCAAAAAAGAGCCATATTTTTCTTCTTGCAAGTAGGAGAGATATCACTAAATTCTTTTCCTAGCAAAGAATGTTAACATTAATACCCTGGGAAAGGAACGCATTCCTGGGGGGAGGTCTATAAACGGCTGCTCTGGGAATGTCTGCCTTATGCGGTTGAGGAAAGGACTGAGATATATACCCTGGTCTCCTGCAGTACCCTCAGGCTTATTAGGGTGGGGAAAAACTCCGCCCTGGTAAATTTGTGGTCGGACTGGTTCTCTGCTCTCGAACCCTGTTTTCTGTTGTTTAAGATGTTTATCAAGACAATACATGCATCGCTGAATATAGACCCTTAACAGTAGTTCTGCTTTTGCCCTTTGCCTTGGGATCTTTGTTGGACCCTTATCAGTAGTTCTGCTTTGCCTTTTGTCCTGTTCCCTCAGAAGCATGTGATCTTTGTTCTGCTTTTTGCCCTTTGAAGCATGTGATCTTTGTACCTACTCTCTGTTCTTACACCCCTTCCCCTTTTGAAACCCTTAATAAAAAACTTGCTGGTTTGAGGCTCAGGTGGGCATCACGGTGATATGTGATATCACCCCCAGCGGCCCAGCTATAAAATTCCTCTCTTTGTACTCTTTCTCTTTATTTCTCAGCAGTCTGACACTTATAGAAAATAGAAAGAACCTACATTGATATATTGTGGGTGGGTTCCCCCGATATCAGTGAACTGCCCTTGGTGCTCGGCTGGAGACTGTATATTCCGTGCTTACCATGTGCTGGGCATGGTGCTTGGCTGGAGACTGTATATTCCATGCTTACTGTGTGCTGGGCATGGTGCTCGGCAACATGGTCCATGACCTTATGAAGTTTAAAATCTTGTTGCGGAGACAAGGCCAACAAACATAACATTAATCAGCAAATCAAGGCAGGACGCATTGCTGAACTCTACTTCTGGTAGCAAGTGCTACATGAGTTAAGAGGGAAAAGTAATAACTCAGCACCCGTTATGCTCTAGCTCCTGGATTGGAAACACCACCTTATTTAAGTTTTCATTAATTCTATAAGGTAGACTGGGTGTAGTCATGTAAGGCATGAAGAAACTCTGACTCAGCGAGGTTCAGTGACTTCCCAAGGACACACAATTACTAAGTGGCTGAGTCGGAACTTGAGCACAGCCTCCTGGCTCTGAAACCCTGCCAGAATACATTCTCCCAAATCAAAGCAAGTATCATCAATTTTGTTTTATTTTCTTTCTTTTTGTTGTTGTTGTTTTGTTTTGTTTTGTTTTTTTGAGACAGGGTCTTTCTCTGTTGCCCAGACTGGAGTGCAGTGGTGCAATCATAGCTTACTGCAGCTGTGAACTCCTGGGCTTAAGCGATCCTCCCACCTCAGCCTCCCGAGTACTTGGGACCACAGGTGTGCACCACCACGCCCGGCTAATTTTTCAAAATTTTTTCATAGAGATGGGGTCTCACTGTATTGCCCAAGCTGGTCTCAGACTCCTGGCCTTGAGGGATTCTCCTGCCTCAGTGTCTCAAAGTGCTGGGATGACAGACATAAGCCACCATGCCCAGCCCATCAATCTCATTTTCTACAAGAGGAAGCAGGAGGTCAGCGAGGTAAGGGACTTGTCAGAGGCACGGAAATAGTAGCGGGCTGAGCTGGGGTTTGGGTGCAGGCCTGTCCATCTCATGATCTCATGATCGAGGATGCCTCTTACAGCCTGTCATGGGTACCCTTCCTTCTACCAGGCGAGGGACCTGGCAGTGCTGCATTGAGTCTCTGGAGCTCATTTGACAGATAAAGAAACTGAGGCCTCCAGAGAGGCTTTTTCTAGTCTAGCCTCCTCACTGTCAGTCACACCCATTTGCCTTGGCTTGGCTGCCCCACACCTGCCAGGCTCCCTCTGCACCCGCGCCCCCTATATTCAAGCTCACCTACAAAACCCACCTGTTCCTCAAGACCTGGGCTGTCGCAGCCTCTCCAGCTCCACTTGGGGACCTGGGAGCTCCTGAAAACGTGTTTTCTTGGTTTTGTTTTTGTCTTATTTTGTTTTGCTTTGAGATAGAGTCTCGCTCTGTCGCCCAGGCTGGAGTGCAGTGGCGCGATCTCGGCTCACTGCAGCCTCCACCTCCCGGGTTGAAGCGATTCTCCTGCCTCAGCCTCCTCAGTAGGTCTCAGTAGCTGGGATTACAGGCGTGCGTCACCCGCCCGGGAGCGTGTTTTTAAGTGTTCAGGTACTATAGCAATGAACATGGATCATTGTCCATTTCTTGGCTCCTGGTAGCACTCAGTCAATGTTTGCTGAAGTGATGGGAAAATCAATGAATAAGCCACAGCACCGGCAGCCAGGACAGGATCCTGCTGAGGACTCAGACCAGGGGCGCCGCCTCTTGCTCGCAGCGCAGGGGAACGAGCCTCACCTTTGACCTTGTCTCAGCAGCGCCACCTCGTGGTTTCCAAAAGGAACAGCATCATGCTGGGCGCAGGGGCCCTGCCCTGCGGTGACTGAAAGGCGTGTGTGTGTGTGTGTGTGTGTGTGTGTGTGTGTGTGTGTGTAGGCGTGTGTGTGTGTGTGTGTGTGTGTGTGTGTGTGTCTGTGTGTGTGTGGTGAGGAGGGCCCTGCGCCTTGCCTGTCAGCTTTATGGAGGTGCCCCAGCTCGCTGGAGGAAAAGAATGCTGACCAGTGGCCCGAAAGGATTTTCCCGAATCCACTGGGAATGGGAAGGATCCTGTCAAAAATCCAAAGGGAAATGATACAACCAGGAAGCCTTGGTGCCCTTACAGGAACAGACAAGCCCCTTTCCCACGCTGTCATGTGGCATGAGGACACTCTCACAACCACAGTCACACACCCGGGAGCCCTGCCTGGCTTCAGCTGCCCGACATCCCTCGGGAGTCAGAGCAGAGGCGCACACGGAGGGCTCCGGCCTCCAGAGCGTGGCCCAGCGGCCGCAGGGGAAGGGGCAGAAATAAGCCACCTTCTCTCCAGAACGCTGAGCAGCTCAGGAAGCCGCTCGGGAAAGCACCTCTCTGATCCAGCCCCGAAGGCAGTGCCTTCTTTCTGCCCCTGCTGGGTCAAGGTTTTCTCAGCCACACCCTAATCCAATCGGTATTCGCAATCCAACTATCACATGTTTGTTAGGGGTTTTTTGTTGTTGGTTTAAATCTTTCTTTTTTTTTTTTTTTTAAGAGATGAGGTCGGCCGGGCGCCATGGCTCATGCCTGTAATCCCAGCACTTTGGGAGGCTGAGGTGGACGGATCACAAGGTCAGGAGTTGGAGACCAGCCTGGCCAGTATGGTGAAACCCCATTTCTACTAAAAATACAAAAATTAGCCGGGCGTGGTGGTGCACACCTGTAGTCCCAACTACTCGGGAGGCTAAGGCAGGAGAATCGCTTGAACCCAGGAGGCAGAGGTTGCAGTGAACCGAGATCACGCCACTGCACTCCAACCTGGGTGACAGAGAGACTCCATCTGAAAAAAAAAAAAAAAAGAGAGAGAGAGATGAGGTCTCGCTCTGTCCCCCAGGCTGCAGTGCGCTGGTACAATCACTGCAGCCTCGAGCTCCTGGCCTATGTGATCCTCCCGCCTCAGCCTCCTGAGTACCTGGGACCACAGGCACTGCCACCATGCCTGGCTCTCTTATCCTTATTTAATTCCTGTAAACAAATAGATATCAGCAGTCTAATTTGGATGGCTTTGGTCTCAAGAGAGCTAGTAAATGTGTTTGATAGTGCTTACCCAGATATTCCCACTGAACATCAGTTTCCCTGCCTTGATTCTAGCGTGCATTCCTGGGGAGACAGAGGACGTTGCAGTAAACCGGTCTGGTAGAATTGTGTGAGCCAAGGAGGATGGCAGTCCCACTCGTCACTGTGCCTACCTACATGATGCTCCTGCTGGGTGTTCAGAACTCATTCTTACCCAAAGGGCTAGATGATGGTGCAAACATTTCTTTCTTTCTTCCTTTTTTTGAGACGGACTCTTGCTCTGTCACCCAGGCATGATCTTGGCTCACTGCATCCTCTGCCTCCTGGGTTCAGGCAATTCTCCTGCCTCAGCCTCCTGAGTAGCTGGAATTACAAGCGTGTGCCACCATGCCCGGCTAAATTTTGTATTTTTTGTAGAGACGGGGTTTCACCACGTTGGCCAGGCTGGTCTCAAACTTCTTGCCTCGAGTGATCCTCCTGCCTCGGCCTCCCAATGTGCTGGGATTACAGGCGTGAGCCACCGCGCCGGCTGCAAATATTTCTTTACTGATTCCTTAGGTAACCCTTCACCTGTGCTTAGACCACCAAGGGTGGGCACCAGGAAACCCCATCTTCCTTTCCCACTCATTCAGTCTCCACTCTCCCAGCTTCCCTCCCACAGCCTTCTGTGTTTCATTTGCCTTGGACCCACAGATACCTCAGGGAGGAGCACCACGAAGGCAAACCAACCTCTTTCATATCAACATCCATTGCCACCTGTTAGTAAGTGTCAAATGGTGTTCTGCATGCTAGAAGATCTCCCTCCCACGGGGTGCCTGTGAGCCTCCTGCTATAGGAGACAGAATTCTGTATGGCCCATCCAGGGAGGAGCAACCGAAGGAAAAACAGCAACTGTGGTTCTCTGTGCCTATATTGGATTATGTCCCATAGATGCCCCTTACATCTTCTAATGAGGGAGTGGCTAGTGGGGCTCCTATTTGCTAGATGTTTCTGCTGCTGGGCTAAAAACCGCTTAGGTGGCCGGGCGGGGTGGCTCACGCCTCTAATCCCTGCACTTTGGGAGCCGAAGTGGGAGGATTACTTGAGTTTAGGAGTTTGAGACCAGCCTGGGCAACATAGTGAGACCCCCATCTCTACAAAATGAATAAGTAGAGTTTAAATTAAAAAGAGAAAAAGAAACATGCTTAATCTACTTCTGAGAATGATCTCAGGAAGAGAGTGAAACAGATGGGCTCGGTCTCCTGAGGGAGACAAACAGGGCTTCAAGCAGGGCTTAGGCTGGGGACGCTGTGTGGAGCAGAGTCACTGGCTATTTATAGCCCAAACAGTAAGAAGAGTCGTTATGAAAATGCCCAGAGGTGCTTTGATCCGGGAAGTACACAAGCCAATCAAAATACGCCGCCTTCGGGCAAGAGGAGCCGGAGAGCGCCATCTAGTGACCCCACAAGTTCCCTTCCTGAAGGAAGTATTCAGTCCGGAGAAACCAAGACCCACCTCACAGCGAGGACCAGAGAGACACCTTGGTAAGAGGCCCTGGAAACGAAACACAAAGCGAGGAAGGACAGTGCACGGGCCTCAGACGCGAAAAACAGGGGTCGGAGTGCCCATCCTACAGGTTGTTTGATAATTAAATGAGATATTTCCTTTTTATATGAAATGTTTTATGTTCATAAAGATGACAACTAAATAATCTTCATTAACTTAGGAATCCAGCCCTTACTATGTGACACAGTGTGTGCCAATGTATTTATCATTTTGTTTTATGAGTTGTATCTTTTTTTTTTTTTTTTTTGAGACAGGGTCTCACTTTGTCACCGAGGCTGGAGTGCAGTGACACAATCTCGGCTCACTGCAACCTCTACTTCCCAGGCTCAAGTGATTCTCCTGCCTCAGCCTCCTGAGTAGCTGGGACTACAGGCGTGCGCCACCACGCCCAGTTGATTTTTTGTATTTGTTTTGTTTTGTTTTGTTTTGTTTTAGTAGATATGGGGTTTTGCCGTGTTGGCCAGGCTTGTCTCGAACTCCTGAGCTCAGGTGATCTGCCTGCCTCGGCCTCCAAAGTGCTGGGATTACAGGCGTGAACCACGGCGTCTGGCCAACTTGTATCATTTTTGTTATTATAGAATATTTATTTGAAATGTTCTAGTTTGCAGTAATTTGTGGGAGTTTTGTTCTTACTAGGACTTAGGAAAGATATTGCATAAACCACTGCTATTGGGTTCACAGAAAATATAGGAAAAAAAGAATAACAACTATTTTGGGGTTTTTTTGGTTGGGGGTGGTTTGAGACAGGGTCTTGTCGTCGCCCAGGCTGGGGTGCCGTGGCGCCATCACGGCACTCAAACTCCTGGGCTCACTGCAACCTCAAACTCCTGGGCTCAATCAATCTTCCCACCTTAGCCTCCTGAGTAGCTGGGACCGCAGGTGCCTGCCACCACGTCTGGCTAATTTATTTATTTTTGTAGAGATGGGGTTTCACCATGTTGCTCAGGCTGGTCTCAAACTCCTGGGCTCAAGTAATTCTCCCACCTTGGCCTCTCAAAGTGCTGGAATTACTGGCATAAGCCACTGCACCTGGCTCAATAAGAACTATTATGGAAATGACATTTACATTTGTATATGTGCCAGATGTATATGAAATAGAATGAAAAAAGGCCCAAACCCAGCATAACGCACCGTTTCCTGGAATATTAATACATGCCAGGCAGCCTAAAGGTATGTCTCGTGGCAAGCCTGGGTCTGGATGAAACAAAACCTGGATTCCTCACAGTTCTGCATAGATTCTTGGAAGGCAGAGATGAGAGTCACTATCAGGCAACCAAAATATAGTTTTCTCTTATGACTTCGAGTCACCTCACTTATGGAATTTGGAAACTTACATGTGCAGATGACAGTTGGCAACAGCAGAGTGTGTCTCACAGCTAGATGTGGGTGTGTAATTAGCTGGAGGCCATACATGATTAAATCAATATGTTTCATTAGATGTCACATGTTAATCCTCCTTACTCATTTTGAGAATATTTTAATTTTCATAATAAATTATTCTGATTATAGCCGGGTGCGGTGGCTCATGCCTGTAATCCCAGCACTTTGGGAGGCTGAGGCGGGTGGATCACGAGGTCAGGAGATCAAGACCATCCTGGCTAACATGGTGAAACCCCGTCTCTACTAAATGTACAAAAAATTAGCCGGGTGTGGTGGCCGGCGCCTGTAGTCCCAGCTACTTGGGAGGCTGAGGCAGGAGAATGGCGTGAACCCGGGAGACGGAGCTTGCAGTGAGCCGAGATTGCACCACTGCACTCCAGCCTGGGCAACAGAGCGAGATTCTGTCTCAAAAAAAAAAAAAAGAGGATATCCAAATGACCAAAAGACATAAGAAAATGTGATCTATATCATTAGTTACCAGGTAAACACACATTAAAAGTGCAATGAAATATCATTACATAACAACTCAAAAATTAAAAGGATGGGGAATACCAAGTGTTGATGATGTTAGGGAGCAACTGGAACTTTCTCTCATCAGTTACTAGTTGAAGTGTTAACCGAAGCAGCCACTTTTGAAAACTGCTTAGCAGGATCTACCAGAGCTAAACATACACCTACCCTTTACTCTGGCAATTTCACTCCTAGGTATAAATCCAAGAGAAATGAGTACACTTGAGTAGTAAGCCTTGTGTATGAGAAAGTTCAGAGCAGCCTTATTCATAATAGTAAAGCTAGAAGTGTCCCAATTAGCTATCAGCAGCAGAATAAAAACTAAACTGCTCACACGTGTAATCCCAGCACTTTGGGAGGCCGAGGCGGGTGGATCACAAGGTCAGGAGATCAAGACCATCCTGGCCAACATAGTGAAACCCCATCTCTACTAAAGATACAAAAAAAAAATTAGTCGGGCGTGGTGGCGGGCGCCTGTAGTCCCAGCTACTTGGGAGGCTGAGGCAGGAGGATGGCGTGAACCCAGGAGGCGGAGCTTGCAGTGAGCCGAGATCGCACCACTGCACTCCAGCCTGGGCGACAGAGCAAGACTCTGTCTCAAAAAAAAAAACAAAAATCAAAAAACAAAAAGCAAACAAACAAAAAACTAAACTGGCCAGGCACAGTGGCTCATGCCTATACTCCGACCAATTTGGGAGGCCAAAGTGGGTGGATAACTTGAGGTCAGGAGTTTGAGACCAGCCTGGCCAACATGGTGAAACCCCATCTCTACCAAAAATACAAAAATAAGTTGAGTGTGGTGGTGCATACCTGTAGTCCCAGCTACTCGGGAGGCTGAGGCAGGAAAATCACTTGAACCCGGGAGGCGGAGATTGCAGTGAGCTAAGATTGCGCCATTGCACTCCAGCCGGGGAAACAGAGTGAGACTCCATCTCACAAAGAAAAAAAAAAAGGAAAAAAAGAATAAAAATTTAACTAAAAACTATATTCATATGGCATAGTGTTATACAGCAATAAAAATAAGGAATTACTGATATATGCAGCAATATGGATGAATCTTAGACATTATGCTGAATGAAAGAAACCAGATACAAAAAGAGTGCATACCAAATGATTCCTTTCTTTTCTTGAGACAGAGTCTCGCTCTGTTGCCCAGGCTGGAGTGCAGTGGCACGATCTTGGCTCACTGCGAGCTCCGCCTCCCAGGTTCAAGTGATTCTCCTGCCTCAGCCTCCCGAGTAGCTGGGATTACAGGGATGTGCCACCTCACCTGGCTAATTTTTGTATCTTTAGTAGAGATGGGGTTTCACCACGTTGGCCAGGCTGGTCTCAAACTCCCGACTTTAGGTGATCCACTCACCTCGGCCTCCCAAAGTGCTGGGATTACAGGTGTGAGCCACTGCACCTGGCTGAATGATTCCTTTTATATGAAGTTCAATAAATCAGAATAGTGGTTACCCCTGGAGAGGATGGTGCTGAATGAAAAGGAGTACAGGGAAATCCTCTGGTGCTGGGAACATCCTGTATCTTGATCTGAGTGGTGGTTGCAGGGTGCGTATATATATTAAAATTCAATGATTTCTACATTTCAGGGTAATGTATTTTAAAACTTTATTATATTTATTTTATACCTCAATAAAGAAGAAAAAAAGAATACAGATGCTAACTTGAAGGGAATACTAGTGGCCAAAGATGGGACAATTTGAATATCAAGAAAAATTTTGACTGTGATGTATTGAAACATATTAAACAAATAAAAACCCATTAGTTTATAATGATTCTAAAAATATTACTTGATCTGTTATCATCTTGAAAATTGGTAAAAAGAAAAAATCAGGTATTTTTTCCTGTTTTTCCTTAGCAGTAATATTTCAGAGTAAACAAATAGTTGATGAAGAAATTATTTTCCCAACTTCCAGCTGATAAATACAGAAGGAACAATAGAATTAGAAAACTGCTGGCTGGGTGCGGTGGCTCACACCTGTAATCCCAGCACTTTGGGAGGCTGAGGTGGGTGGATCACCTGAGGTCAGGTATTCGAGACCAGCCTGGCCAACATGGTGAAACCCCATCTCTACTGAAAATACAAAAATTAGCTGGGCATGGTGGCACGCGCCTGTAATCCCAGCTACTCAGGAGGCTGAGGCAGAAGAATCGTTTGAACCCGGGAGGCAGAGGTTGTAGCGTAGCAAGCCGAGATCACGCCACTGCACTCCAGCCTGGGCAACAGAGCGAGACTCCTTCTCTACATAAATAAATAAAAAAGCCTGGCACAGCATGTCTGGGCTGAAATCAAGTTGCGGACCAGGCTGAGTTCCCATCTGGAGGCTCCGGGCAAAATCTGCTTTAAAACTCATTCTTGTCGTTGGCAGAATTCAGTTCCTTGTGGTTGCAAGACCCAGGTTTCCTGGTTTCCTCGCTGGCTGTCAGCCAGGAGCTGCTTCAGCTCCGAGAGGCTCCCTGCACTCCCGGCCCTGGGGTTTCCTGTATCTTTAAGCCATCAAAGACACATTGAGCCCTTCTTGAAATTCACATTTCTGGCTTCCTCCGTCTTGATCTCTAGACCAGGATTTAAATGGCTAGGCCCATTTGAGTAATCTCTCAAATTTCAGATAAATTTATTTGAGACCTTAACTACATCTGTGAAATTCCTCGTCGTTGAAGGTCACATAGCCACAGGAGCGGCAGCTCTTCACATTCACAGGCTCTACCTACATTTACGGGAAGGAAGTGACACAAGGACAAGGGTCGTTTGGGGATCACCTTAGAATAGTTCCTACTAAAATCACCAATGCAGGCGGTGGCTCACACTTGTAATCCCAGCACTTTGAGAGGCCAAGGTGGGTGGATTGCTTGAGGTCAGGAGTTTGAGACCAGCCTGGCTACCATGGCGAAACCCCATCTCTACTAAAAACACAATAATCAGCCAGGCATGGCGGTGCACACCGTAATCCCAGCTACACGGGAAGTTGAGGCAGGAGAATCGCTTGAACCTGGGGGGTGGAGGTTGCAGTGAGCCAAGACTGCACCACTGCTCCAGCCTGGGCGACAAGAGCAAGACTGTTAAAAAAAAAAAAAAAAATCACCAATGTAGTATTCTTGCTGAATTTTTAAACCTGGATCCAATTCTGAGGATACAGTCAGACAAATCCAGATTGTGTGACATTCTACATGTCAACTGGCCTGAACTCTTCAAAAATGTCAGTCATAAAAGATTTTTTTAAAAGAGGTTACTCTTCCAGATTCCAGGAGGTTAAAGAGACATGACAACCAAATGTATAATCCTCGATTGAAGATTGAAGCCTGGATTTTAAAAAATATTATGAGACATTTTCAAGACAATTTGAAATGTGAATATATTCCAGCTATTAGTTCATATTATTGTAACAATGTTACATTTCTTCAGTGTGATAATGGTGCTATGATTATGTAGGAGAATGTCTTTGTTCTCAAGAAATAAGTGAATGCTAGAAAATTTTAGGGGCGAAGGTCAGTATATTTGCAACTTTTAAATGGTTCAGAAAAAAATATATGTATGGAGATAGAGAAAAACAGTGGCAAAATGTTAACAATTAGTGAATTAAGAAGAGCATATGGGTATTTATTGTATTATTATCATTTTTTAATCTTTCTGTGGACTTGGAGATTTTTTTTTTTTTTTTTTTTGAGATGGGGTCTTGCTCTGTCATCCAGGCTGGAGTACAGTGGCATGATCATAGCTTACTGCAGCCTTGAACTCCTGGGCTCAAGTGATCCTCCCCTCTCAGTCTCCTGAGTAGCTGGGACTACAGGTGTGCACCACCACTCCTGGCTAATTTTCCTATTTTTCTGTAGAGTCAGGATCTCATTATGTTGCCCAGGCTAGTCTCAAACTCCTGGGCTCAGGTGATCCTTCTGCCTCAGCCTCCCAAAGTGTTGAGATGGCAGGCGTGAATGTGCCTGACCTGACTCGAAGATTTTTTAAAAAATAAATCTCAAAGAGAAAAAGAATGTGGTGTAAAACCATCTTAATGGTAAACTTATTTTCCCTTTCTCTGTTTTTTTCTATAGTGAGGCCGTACTGAAAGAATGTGATGTAAAACCGTCTTAGTGGTAAACTTATTTTCCATCTCTCTGGTTCTTTCTATAGTGAGGCAGTACTGAAAGAATGTAGCAAGTGAGTTGAGCAATTTCAGACATTCAGACAACGCCCAAATATCTTGTGGGAAATCTTTTCTGCCCATAAACATAAGTCAGAATCTATTTTCTGGAAGGCTAAATAACCAATTACTTATTGCTATGATTCATAAGTAAAGAAAGACACTACTTTCCCTCCCCCATTATCAAAACATGATCTAGTAAAAAAGTTTGGAAACTCTATTTGTTCACCAAGATTTTGCTTCCCCAGACCTTTATGTTTGCAATGGCCATAGAAGTAGTTCAGGTTCACGTACTGATATATACAGACAGGCCCAAGCCATACTTCAATAAACGTACCATAGATGTGAAATACAGGATAGAGAGCAAGAGCTTTTGGCACGGTAATCTTAGATGTGGAAATTTACTCTAATACGATTATTAAGAAGGAAAAGTTATATAAGAATATGTATAGTGAGCCAGGCGCGGTGGCTCACGCCTCTAATCCCAGCACTTTGGGAGGCCGAGGCGGGCGGATCACAAGGTCAGGAGATTGAGACCATCCTGGCCAACATGGTGAAACCCCGTCTCTACTAAAATTCAAAAAATTAGCCAGGCATGGTGGCATGCACCTGTAATCCCAGCTACTTGGGAGGCTGAGGCAGGAGAATCGCTTGAACCTGGGAGGCAGAGATTACAGGAGGTTGCAGTGAGCCGAGATCACACCACTGCACTCCAGCCTGGAGACAAAGCAAGAGTCCGTCTTAAAAAAAAAAAAAAGTGACAAATTGGAAAAGGTCTAAATGTACATCTGTAGGGAAGTACTTAAATTATGTCTACCAGTACTATGTGGATTTTTTTCGTTAATTTGAATATAATGTGAAATCAGAAAAAAATGGCCATCAAATAATGTTAAGGATATTTATTAAGTGCACCAAAACATTATATTCTATACCTTAAACATATACAATTTAAAAACGTTAAGGACCCAGCCAGAGCAATTGGCAAGAGAAAGAAATAAAGGGTATCCAAATTGGAAATGAGGAATCAAATGGCCTATTTGCAGACAATATGATCTTTGCAGTTGATCCTTAAACAACGCAGGTTTGAACTTCACAGATCTACTTATACGTAAACTTTCTTCCATCTCCATCTCTGCTGCCCTTGAGACAGCAAGACCAACCCCACCTGTTCCTCCTCAGCCTACTCAGCCTGGTCCCAGGTACTTGGGAGGCTGAGGTGGGAGGATCACTTGAGCTTGGGGACGTGGAGGTTAAAGTGAGCTGAGTTTGCACCACCATTTACAATAGCTACAAAAATAAAAATACCTAGAAATAAATTTAACCAAGGAGGTGAAAGATATCTATCAGGAAAACTTTAACACAGAGATGAAAAAAATTGAAGGAGACACACACACACACACACACACACACACACACACACACACAGGAAAAAAAAGGGAAAGAAATAGAAATAGAAAAAAAAAAGTCACCTAGCAGAGGCTTGCAAAGGTGCAGATTGCCCTCAGGGATTTGGTAGATACCAGTCCTCCTGCCCCTGGCTGCAGTGCAGAATGTACAGGAATGGGGAAGGTCAGGGAGGATTTCATTCCAGGGCTTTAACCTTCCACTTCTCCAGCCTTTCTCCCTCCACCCAAAAAAAGATTGAAAAAGCTAAGAATAAAAGGTAGAACACCAAATTGTATTCACATTATACTTTTAAACATGTATAAACGATGAGCACGTGTGAATAAAGATCAGAAAGACCCAAAAATAATTGTAAATCTTTGGTGGGATTGTGGGCATAAGTCTTTTGATAATTAGAAGTTTTACTATTACTGTTTCCTCCGCCATGCTAAAAATCCACGTGATCAGGAACTATCTTGTTCATCTTTGCAATACCAGGGCCTACTTCAGGCTTGAGATGTTTATTTAAGAAATGAGTGGAGAAATGAATGAATGTATGAATAAGATGTTTTAAAATTAAATAACATTTTTTAAAGGAGATTTTCTTTTCTTTCTTTCTTTTTTTTTTTTTTTTGGAGATGCAATCTCGCTCTGTCACCCAGGCTGGAGTGCAGCGGTGTGATCTTGGCTCACTGCAACCTCCACCTCCCGGGTTCAAGCGATTCTCCTGCCTCAGCCTCCCAAGTAGCTGGGATTACTGTGAGTCCATTGGAAATGCACAATGAATATTGTGTCTGACTGCCCATCCTACCAGGAAACTGATAGTGTGATGTGGTTTCGAGTTTCCTCATAGGCAAGTGTTTCAAAATTTGGTCTTTGTAACACAGGCCCAAAGGTTGATTGAAGAGCTTGCTTTCACTATAGCTTAATAAAATGAATCCTCTACCTCTGGCCAAAATAGCAGTGTCTAAAATGAATTTGCTTCCTAACATAGTAGGCACTGAGTGTCACACAAGGTTAATTTGTGTGTGTGTGTTTCAAAACTATCATGCTCGTTGAAAATTAAACACAGCAGCATAAAAACATCAATACAATACTCTGTGGATGGGTGCTGGCCTCCCTTGGGCATTGGCAGGAAGGTTCACATTGTTTGGTGAAGACAGTCTTTTGAGAAATTTCTGGTAAATTTTTGTGCATATTGGAAGATTAAATTAAATTTTGCTTCATAGGATCCTGTCCTTACATTTTTTTAAAATTTAGAAAGAGCTAAATTGGGAAAGATGATCATGATTCTTCAGGTCATTATTTGAAGATGGTATTGCTTGACCAAATTATACCACTTATATCATGATGTACACTAATTTCACAAGTGAATATTATTACTGCTTAAATATATGTGTGCTTTGCTAGATTTTTATAAAACAGACTCTTGTTATCAGGCCTTATTATCTTTTTACCCACAAGGAAGCCAAGAAACCAGAGTTGAGTAACTTGGCTGTACCAAAATGAATCATTGATGGGGGGAATCAGGAAGATAGATTCCCTACTCTATTAAATCAATTTTTAATTTTTTAGAGATTTTTGGGAGGGAGCGGTGACTCAAGCCTGAAATCCCAGCACTTTGAGAGGCCGAGGCGGGCGGATCACTTGAGGTCAGGCATTCGAGACCAGCCTGGCCAACGTGGTGAAACCCCATCTCTACTAAAAATACAAAACTTAGCCGTGCGTCGTGGTGTGCACCTGTAATCCCAGCTACTTGGGAGGCCAAGACATGAGAATTGCTTGAACCTGGGAGGCAGAGGTTGCAGTGAGCTGAGATTGCACTACTGCACTCCAGCCTGGGCACCAGAGCGAGACTCCATCCCAAAAAATAAAAATAAAAAATAAAAGAGATTTTTGCAAGCTTCTGGTTTCCACAAAGTCCTTGATTTCTCTCTTTCCTCCTCCCTCCCTCCCTCCTTCCCTGCTTCCCTCCTTCTCTCCTTCCTTCCTTCCTTCCTTCCTGTAGTTTGCTGATAAGTATTTAACAATCCACTCTCTGGGGGGATAAACATGATTTGTAGAGTGTGTCAGAGCCCCTGGTGTAAATCCAGCCATGGCTGTAAACCATGTCTGATTTCCAACGGTGCTGAAAATTTAACAGTTGGCTTTCATAAAGGTGGTATGAGTGATTTTTACTTCACCATTGGATGCCTCCCTTATTAAAAATAAAAACATTAAAAATAATAAAGCCCTAGGCTTCTGAGGATTTGCACAAAGAACTTTTAATGACAAATAGATTTTTAGTTTAATAGTAGAAAAAAGGAAAAAATGATACCTAGAAGGGAAAAAAAGGAAAAAAATAGAAGTAGCTGCTTAATTGACAATAAAAGCACTTAGTTTCTGCTGCATACCTAAAAGGTCAGCCTGGACTAACTCCTTTTCGCTGTGCCATTCCAGCATGATGCGCAGAGCTTGGTAGAAGGACCAGGTATTGGGAGGTAGGCCTGTGTTGTACTATTGTGCAACTTTCAGTATGCTGAGACAAAAACATGTTCTAAAATGGGGCAGCTGGCCAAGCATGGTGGCTCACACCTGTAATCCCAGCAGTTTGGGAGGCTGAGGTAGGCATATCATTTGGGGCCAAGAGGTCGAGACCAGCCTGGGCAACATAGTGAGGCCTCGTCTCTACAAATAATTTGAAATTTAACCAGGCATGATGGTGTGCACCTGAGGTTTCAGCTACTCGGGAGGCAGAGGTGGAGGATCACTTGAGCCCTGATGTTGAGGCTGCAGTGAGCTGTGACAGTGCCACTGCACTCCAGCTTGGGTGACAGAGTGAGACTCTGTCTCAAAAAATAATGGTAATAATAAAATAAAATGTGGCAGTACATGATGGAATTTCTGAATTGGATTAGCTACTTTCCTTGCTTTTTGTTTCTTTCTCTTATCTACTAGAGATCAGCAAATAATTCAGGTAATCAAAAGTTGCAAAAAAAAAAAAAAACCATGATTTTTCATAGATGACTCCCCATGACTTCTTCCCTTCACATTTAGCCACAGCTGCCATACCACTTCCTAAGTGTGGCAAGTTCAGCTTCCTTCTCACTTTCAGCTTCAAATGGACTTTTGGACTACCTGGGCGTTCCTTTATTTGTCTCTTTCTGATTTCCTATGTCAAAGATAAACAAGGTGGAAGGACAGATTTTAATCAGTAATATACTATTGCAAAGTGAAAACGAGTCTAGCATGAGCTGAACTCAACTTCTGAACCCAGTCAGAGGTGACTAGGCATTTTAAAGGGAGGATGAGGGAAGAGGGAAGGGTAAGTGAGGGCTCAGGAGAGTCAGGGAAATGAAAAATTACAAAAAGTAGAAGGGGGGTGGTAAATTAGTCCATTCTGTGTTGCTATAAAGGAATACCTGAGACCAGGTAATTTATCAAGAAAAGAGGTTTATTTGACTCATGGTTGATGAGGACCTCGGGAAGTTTACCCTCATGGTAGAAGGTGAAGAGGGGGCAGGCATGTCACATGGCGGGAAGCTTACCATCATGGTGGAAGGCAAAGAGGGAGCAGGCACATCACATGGTGAGAGTGGGGGCAAGAGAGAGAGGAGGCAATACTTGGCTGTCTTAAACAAGTAGCTCCCACATGAACTAATAGAGTGAGAGCTCACTTATTACTATGGGGATGTCACCAGGCCATTCGTGAAGGATCCACTTCCATGACCCAACTGAGAGGTGAAGCCAGCTGGGCTTCTGTGTCAGGCGGGGACCTGGAGAACTTTTCTGTCTAGCTAAAGGATTGTAAACGCACCAATCAGTGCTCTGTGTCTAGCTAAAGGTTTATAAACACACCAATCAGCACTCTGTAAAAACTCACCAATCAGCGCTCTGTGTCTAGCTAAAGGTTTGTAAACGCACCAATCAGCACTCTGTAAAAATGGACCAATCAGCACTCTGTAAAATGGACCAATTGGCACTCTGTAAAATGGACCAATCAGCAGGATGTGGGCAAGGCCAAATAAGGGAATAAAAGCTGGCCACCCAACCCAGCAGAGGCAACCCACTCGGGTCCCCTTCCATGGTGTGGAAGCTTTGTTCTTTTGCTCTTCACAATAAATCTTGCTGCTGCTCACTCTTTGGGTCTGCACTACCTTTATGAGCTGTAACACTCACTGTGAAGGTCTGCAGCTTCACTCCTGAAGTCAGTGAGACCACAGACCCACTGGGAGGAACAAACAACTCTGGACGCACCACCTTTATGAGCTGTAACACTCACCGTGAAGGTCTGCAGCTTCACTGCTGAAGTCCGCAAGACCACGAGCCTACCGGAAGGAACAAACAATTCTGGACACGCCATCTTTAAGAGCTGTAACACTCACTGCAAAGGTCTGTGACTTCACTCCTGAAGTCAGCAAGACCATGAACCCACCAGAAGGAAGAAATTCTGGACACATCTGAACATCTGAAGGAAGAAACTCTGGACACATCATCCTTAAGAACTGTAACACTCACTGCAAGGGTCCGTGGCTTCATTCTTGAAGTCAGCAAGACCAAGAACCCACTGGAAGGAACCAATTCCGGACACACAACCACCTCCCACTAGGCCCCACCTCCAACACTGGGGATCACATTTCAACATGAGATTTGGAGGGGACAGGCATTCAAACTATACTGGGGGACTTGATCAACGTGAAACTTCTCTGGGTTTGCTAACCAACTGGTGCTTTTGGAAGCTAGGCACCTAGCCCCCCAAGGAGGCTGGGCGACAGGGGCCCTGTCTTCAGGTGCTGGCTAGAACAAGCAACAAATTATTGGGGCAGCCTTGAGCTTTCTCTCAGGCAGCTACGTGAAGAGTGTGGGTAGGATCATGCTGGGGGAGGGGAGTTGAGCTGTTAGAAACTGTGTTACTGTTTGTTCAAGTCTTTACAGGCCAAGGATGAGACTCGTGCATAACCAGGCTCAGAGGAGCCTGACTAGAGTTTGGTCATGGAGATGATCTTTGTCACCTGGCTAGAGTTTGGTCATGGAGAGGATCTTTGTCACCTGGCTAGAGTTTGGTCAATGAGAGGATCTTTGTCACCTGGCTAGAGTTTGGTAGAGGAAAGGATCTTTGTCACCTCACTAGAGTTTGGTCAATGAGAGGATCTTTGTCACCTGGCTAGAGTTTGGTCAATGAGAGGATCTTTGTCACCTGGCTAGAGTTTGGTCGAGGAGAGGATCTTTGTCACCTGTCTAGAGTTTGGTCGAGGAGAGGATCTTTGTCACCTGGCTAGAGTTTGGTCAAGGAAAGGATCTTTGTCACCTGGCTAGAGTTTGGTAGAGGAGAGGATCTTTGTCACCTGTCTAGAGTTTGGTCAAGGAGAGGATCTTTGTCACCTGGCTAGAGCTTGGTCAAGGAGAGTGAGAGGTGAAGCTGGCTGGGCTTCTGGGTCGGGTGGGGACTTGGAGAAATTTTCTGTCTAGCTAAAGGATTGTAAATGCACTAATCAGTGTTCTGTGTCTAGCTAAAGGTTTGTAAACACCCCAATCAGCACTCTGTGTCTAGCTAATTGGGTGGGGACTTGGAGAACTTTTCTGTCTAGCTAAAGGATTGTAAATGCACCAATCAGTGCTCTGTGTCTAGCTAAAGGTTTCTAAACACACCAATCAGCACTCTGTAAAAATGCACCAATCAGCACTCTGTGTCTAGCGAAATGTTTGTAAACGCACCAATCAGCACTCTGTAAAAATGGACCAATCAGCACTGTAAAATGGACCAATCAGCACTCTGTAAAATGGACCAATCAGCAGGATGTGGGTGGAGCAAAAGAAAGAAATAAAAGCTGGCCACCCTAGCCAGCAGGGGCAACCCCCTCGGGCACCCTGCCATTCTTTTGCTCTTCGCAATAAATCTTGCTGCTGCTCAATCTTTGGGTCCACACTACCTTTATGAGCTGTAACACTCACCGTGAAGGTCTGCAGCTTCACTCCTGAAGCCAGCTGAGATCACGAACCCACCAGGAGGAAAGAACAACTTCAGATGCACCACCTTTAAGAGCTGTAACACTCACTGTGAAGGTCTGTGGCTTCACTCCTGAAGTCAGTGAGACCACGAACACACCAGAAGGAAGAAACTCTGGACACATCTGAACATCTGAAGGAACAAACTCTGGACAGACCATCTTTAAGAACTTTACCACTCACTGCAAGTGTCCGCGGCTTCATTCTTGAAGTCAGCAAGACCAAGAACCCACCAGAAGGAACCAATTCCAGACAAAGAAGATCTTTGTCACCTGGCTAGAGCTTGGTCCAGGAGAGGATCTTTGTCACCTGCCTAGAGCTTGGTTGAGGAGAGGATCTTTGTCACCTGGCTAGAGCTTGGTCGAGGAGAGGATCTTTGTCACCTGGCTAGAGCTTGGTCGAGGAGAGGATCTTTGTCACCTGGCTAGAGCTTGGTCGAGGAGAGGATCTTTGTCACCTGGCTAGAGCTTGGTCGAGGAGAGGATCTTTGTCACCTGGCTAGAGCTTGGTCCAGGAGAGGATCTTTGTCAGCTGGCTAGAGCTTGGTCGAGGAGAGGATCTTTGTCACCTGGCTAGAGCTTGGTCGAGGAGAGGATTTTTGTCACCTGGCTAGAGCTTGGTCCAGGAGAGGATCTTTGTCACCTGGCTAGAGCTTGGGCGAGGAGAGGATCTTTGTCACTTGGCTAGAGCTTGGTCCAGGAGAGGATCTTTGTCACCTGGCTAGAGCTTGGACGAGGAGAGGATCTTTGTCACCTGGCTAGAGCTTGGTCGAGGAGAGGATCTTTGTCACCTGGCTAGAGTTTGGTTGAGGAGAGGATCTTTGTCACCTAGGAAATAGTTACAACTGATGTTGCAGGCATTCTTCTATCTTCTCGTGCCCCTAGTCCTACCCTTCACCCTCGAGCTTCAGAACACCCAGCTTTTGACTTTGTGAAGGTGGTGGCTAAGAGCCTGTCCATAAGCCAACCTTGTCTTCTTTTGGAGGAGAAGGGGGTCTTCCCTTTTTCTTGGCACTAACTTTGGTGCAGAAATCAAGCTGTCTGCTGGCCCCTGGAGAGAATGAATTCCTTGGAAATCCTTTAGATGAAGAATTGCTTCAAGAAGGGCTAGACCTGGGACTGCTCTACACAAAAGCAAATTGTTCCAAGATTCCTGTCCCAGTAAGTTGGTTTTTCCTGCTCTTGAGCTTTAGAGGAAACGAATGACACAGATGTTCTCTGTTTGGCTTTCTGCTCGGATTAGTGTTTGTGGGATTCATTCATATTGTTGTATGTTATGATGGACAAAAAAATTAAGTTCCCTGGAAGCAACAGGAACATGGCCTCAGTGTCAGAACTGCCGATGGTGGGGTGTGATTCCCACAGTTGCCCCTCGGGCCCTTCTGAAAATCAGCCCTTGCTCCTTTAAAAAACTTACTATTATAAATTATAAAATAATTATTGTATAAATTATTGTTAAAAAGTTTGAACAATATAGAAAGGGATGCTTACTCATTGCTAGCACAGCAGTCTGAGATCGAACTGCAAAGCAGCAGCGAGGCTGGGGGGTGGCGCCCGCCATTGCCAAGGCTTGAATAGGTAAACAAAGCGGCTGGGAAGCTCGAACTGGGTGGAGCCCACCGCAGCTCAACTTTGGCGAATCTGACAATTATGTGTCTTGGAGTTGCTCTTCTCGAGGAGTATCTTTGTGGTGTTCTCTATATTTCCTGAATTTGAATGTTGGCCTGCCTTGCTAGATTGGGGAAGTTCTCCTGGATAATATCCTGCAGAGTGTTTTCCAACTTGGCTCAATTCTCCCTGTCACTTTCAGGTATATCAATCAGACATAGATTTGGTCTTTTCACATAGTCCCATATTTCTTACAGAGGCCTGCCTGCCTCTGTAGACCCCACCTCTGAGGGCAGGGAATAGCCAAACAAAAGGCAGCAGAATCCTCTGCAGACTTAAATGTCGCTGTCTGACAGCTTTGAAGAGAGTAGTGGTTCTCCCAGCACGCAGCTGGAGATCTGAGAATGGACACACTGCCTCCTCAAGTGGGTCCCTGACCCCCGAGTAGCTTAACTGGGTGGCACCCCCCAGTAGGGGCAGACTGACACCTCACACGGCCGGGTACTCCTCTGAGACAAAACTTCCAGAGGAACGATCAGGCAGCAACATTTGCTGCTCACCAATATCCGCTGTTCTGCAGCCTCCGCTGCTGATACCCAGGCCAACAGGGTCTGGAGTGGACCTCCAGCAAACTCCAACAGACCTGCAGCTGAGGGTCCTGACTGTTAGAAGGAAAACTAACAAACAGAAAGGACATCCACACCAAAACCCCATCTGTACGTCACCATCATCAAAGACCAAAGGTAGATAAAACCACAAAGATGGGGAAAAAACAGAGCAGAAAAACTGGAAACTCTAAAAATCAGAGCACCTCTCTTCCTCCAAAGGAGTGCAGCTCCTCACCAGCAATGGAACAAAGCTGGATGGAGAATGACTTTGACAAATAGAGAGAAGAAGGCTTCAGACGATCAAACTACTCCAAGCTAAAGGAGGAAGTTCGAACCCATGGCAAAGAAGTTAGAAACCTTGAAAAAAAATTAGATGAATGGCTAACTAGAATAAGCAATGCAGAGAAGTCCTTAGAGGACCTGATGGAGCTGAAAACCAAGGCATGAGAACTATGTGACGAATCCACAAGCCTCAGTAGCTCATTTGATCAACTGGAAGAAAGAGTATCAGTGATGGAAGATCAAATGAATGGAATGAAGCAAGAAGAGAAGTTTAGAGAAAAAAGAATTAAAAGAAATGAACAAAGCCTCCAAGAAATATGGGACTATGTGAAAAGACCAAATCTATGTCTGATTGATATACCTGAAAGTGACAGGGAGAATTGAGCCAAGTTGGAAAACACTCTGCAGGATATTATCCAGGAGAACTTCCCCAATCTAGCAAGGCAGGCCAACATCCAAATTCAGGAAATACAGAGAACACCACAAAGATACTCCTCGAGAAGAGCAACTCCAAGACACATAATTGTCAGATTCACCAAAGTTGAAATGAAGGAAAAAATGTTAAGGGCAGCCAGAGAGAAAGCTCGGGTTACCCACAAAGGGAAGCCCATCAGACTAACAGCTGATCTCTCAGCAGAAACTCTATAAGCCAGAAGAGAGTGGGGGGCCAATATTCAACATTCTTAAAGAAAAGAATTTTCAACCCAGAATTTCATATCCAGCCAAACTAAGCTTCATAAGTGAAGGAGAAATAAAATCCTTTACAGACAAGCAAATGCTGAGAGATTTTGTCACCACTAGGCCTGCCCTACAAGAGCTCCTGAGGGAAGCACTAAACATGGAAAGGAACAACCAGTACCAGCCACTGCAAAACCATGCCAAATTGTAAAGACCATCAAGGCTAGGAAGAAACTGCATCAACTAACGAACAAAATAACCAGCTAACATCATAATGACAGGATCAAATTCACACATAACAATATTAACCTTAAATGTAAACAGGCTAAATGCTCCAATTAAAAGACACAGACTGGCAAATTGGATAAAGAGTCAAGACCCATCAGTATGCCGTATTCAGGAAACCCATCTCACATGCAGAGACACACATAGGCTCAAAATAAAGGGATGGAGGAAGATCTACCAAGTAAATGGAAAACAAAAAAAAGCACGGGTTGCAATCCTAGTCTCTGATAAAACAGACTTTAAACCAACAAAGATCAAAAGAGACAAAGAAGGTCATTACATAATGGTAAAGGGATCAATGCAACAAGAAGAGCTAACTATCCTAAATATATATGCACCCAATACAGGAGCACCCAGATTCATAAAGCAAGTCCTTAGAGACCTACAAAGAGACTTAGACTCCCACACAATAATAATGGGAGATTTTAACACCCCACTGTCAACATTAGACAGATCAATGAGACAGAAAGTTCACAAGGATACCCAGGAATTGAACTCAGCTCTGCACCAAGCGGACCTAATAGACATCTACAGAACTCTCCACCCCAAATCAACAGAATATACATTCTTCTCAGCACCACACTGCACTTATTCCAAAATTGACCTCATAGTTGGAAGTAAAGCACTCCTCAGCAAATGTAAAAGAACAGAAATTATAACAAACTGTCTCTCAGACCACAGTGCAATCAAACTAGAACTCAGGATTAAGAAACTCACTCAAAACCACTCAACTACATGGAAACTGAACAACCTGCTCCTGAATGACTACTGGGTACATAACGAAATGAAGGCAGAAATAAAGATGTTCTTTGAAACCAACGAGAACAAAGACACAACATACCAGAATCTCTGGGACACATTCAAAGCAGTGTGTAGAGGGAAATTTACAGCACTAAATGCCCACAAGAGAAAGCAGGAAAGATCTAAAATTGACACCCTAATATCACAATTCAAGGAACTAGAGAAGTAAGAGCAAACACATTCAAAAGCTAGGAGAAGGCAAGAAATAACTAAGATCGAGCAGAACTGAAGGAAATAGACACACAAAAAACCCTTCAAAAAATCAATGAATCCAGGAGCTGGTTTTTTGAAAAGATCAACAAAATTGATAAACCACTAGCAAGATTAATAAAGAAGAAAAGAGAGAAGGATCAAATAGACGCAATAAAAAATGATAAAGGGGATATCACCACCAATCCCACAGAAATACAAACTACCATCAGAGAATGCTATAAACACCTCTACACAAATAAACTAGAAAATCTAGAAGAAATGGATAAATTCCTCGACACATACACTCTTCCAAGACTAAACTAGGAAGAAGTTGAATCTCTGAATAGACCAATAACAGGCTCTGAAATTGAGGCAATAATTAATAGCTTACCAACCAAAAAAAGTCCAGGACCAGACAGATTCACAGCCAAATTCTACCAGAGGTACAAGGAGGAGCTGGTACCATTCCTTCTGAAACTATTCCAATCAATAGAAAAAGAGGGAATCCTCTCTAACTCATTTTATGGGGCCAGCATCATCCTCATACCAAAGCCTGGCAGAGATACAACAAAAAATGAGAATTTTAGACCAATATCCCTGATGAACATCAATGCAAATATCCTCAATAAAATACTGGCAAACTGAATCCAGCAGCACATCAAAAAGCTTATCCACCATGATCAAGTGGGCTTCATCCCTGGGATGCAAGGCTGGTTCAACATATGCAAATCAATAAACGTAATCCAGCATATAAACAGAACCAACGACAAAAACCATGTGATTATCTCAATAGATGCAGAAAAGGCCTTGACAAAATTCAACAACACTGCATGCTAAAAACTCTCAATAAATTAGGTATTGATGGGACTTATCTCAAAATAATAAGAGCTATCTATGACAAACCCACAGCCAATATCATACTGAATGGGCAAATACTGGAAGCATTCCCTTTGAAAACTGGCAAAAGAGAGGGATGCCCTCTCTCACCACTCCTATTCAACATAGTGTTGGAAGTTCTGGCCAGGGCAATCAGGCAGGAGAAGGAAATAAAGGGTATTCAATTAGGAAAAGAGGAAGTCAAATTGTCCCTGTTTGCAGATGACATGATTATATATCTAGAAAACCCCATCGTCTCAGCCCCAAATCTCCTTAAGCTGATAAGCAACTTCAGCAAAGTCTCAGGATACAAAATCAATGTGCAAAAATCACAAGCATTCCTATATACCAATAACAGACAAACAGAGAGCCAAATCATGAGTGAACTCCCATTCACAATTGCTTCAAAGAGAATAAAATACCTAGGAATCCAACTTACAAGGGACATGAAGGACCTCTTCAAGGAGGACTACAAACCACTGCTCAATGAAATAAAAGAGGACACAAACAAATGGAAGAACATTCCATGCTCATGGGTAGGAAGAATCAATATCGTGAAAAATGCCATACTGCCCAAGGTAATTTACCGATTCAATGCTATCCCCATCAAGCTACCAATGACTTTCTTCACAGAATTGGAAAAAACTACTTTAAAGTTCATATGGAACCAAAAAAGAGCCCGCATTGCCAAGTCCATCCTAAGCCAAAAGAACAAAGCTGGAGGCATCATGCTACCTGACTTCAAACTATACTAGAAAGCTACAGTAACCAAAACAGCATGGTACTGGTACCAAAACAGAGATATAGACCAACGGAACAGAACAGAGCCCTCAGAAATAATGCCACATATCTACAACTATCTGATCTTTGACAAACCTGAAAAAAAGAAGAAATGGGGAAACGATTCCCTATTTAATAAATGGTGCTGGGAAAACTGGCTAGCCATAGGTAGAAAGCTGAAACTGGATCCCTTCCTTACACCTTAAACAAAAATTAATTCACGATGGATTAAAGACTTAAATGTTAGACCTAAAGCCATAAAAACCCTAGAAGAAAACCTAGGCAATACCATTCAGGACATAGGCGTGGGCAAGGACTTCATGTCCAAAACACGAAAAGCAATGGCAACAAAAGACAAAATTGACAAATGGGATCTAATTAAACTAAAGAGCTTCTGCACAGCAAAAGAAACTACCATCAGAGTGAACAGGCAACCTACAAAATGGGAGAAAATTTTCGCAACCTACTCATCTGACAAAGGGCTAATAACCAGAATCTACAATGAACTCAAACAAATTTACAAGAAAAAAACAAACAACCCTATCAAAAAGTGGGCGAAGGACATGAACAGACACATCTCAAAAGAAGACATTTATGCAGCCAAAAAACACATGAAAAAATGCTCATCATCACTGGCCATCAGAGAAATGCAAATCAAAACCACAATGAGATACCATCTCACACCAGTTAGAATGGCAATCATTAAAAAGTCAGGAAACAACAGGTGCTGGAGAGGATGTGGAGAAATAGGAACACTTTTACACTGTTGGTGGGACTGTAAACTAGTTCAACCATTGTGGAAGTCAGTGTGGCCATTCCTCAGGGATCTAGAACTAGAAATACCATTTGACCCAGCCATCCCATTACTGGGTATATACCCAAAGGATTATAAATCATGCTGCTATAAAGACACATGCACACGTATGTTTATTGTGGCACTATTCTGTTGCGGGAAGTCAGGGACCCTAAATGGAGGGACTGGCTGAAGCCATGGCAGAAGAACGTGGATTGTGAAGATTTCATGGACATTTATTAGTTCCCTGAATTAATACTTTTATAATTTCTTATGCCTATCTTTACTGCAATCTCTAAACATAAGTTGTGAAGATTTCATGGACACTTATCACTTCCCCAGTCAATACCCTTGTGATTTCCTATGCCTGTCTTTACTTTAATCTCTTAATCCTGTCAGCTGAGGAGGATGTATGTCACCTCAGGACCCTGTAATAATTGCATTAACTGCACAAATTGTACAGCATGTGTGTTTGAGCAATATGAAATGTGGACACCTTGAAAAAACAACAGGATAACAGCAATTGTTCAGGGAATAAGAGAGATAACCTTAAATTCTGAGTGCCGGTGAGCCGGGCAGAACAGAGCCATATTTCTCTTCTTTCAAAAGCAAATGGGAGAAATAACACTGAATTCTTTTTCTCAGCAAGGAACATCCCTGGGAAAGAGAATACGCACCTGGAGGTATAGGCCTATAAACAGCCCCCCCCCAGGTGCACCTGTCTTTTATGGTTGAGACTGCAGGGGATGAAATAGACCCTAGTCTCCCATAGGGCTCCAAGGCTTATTAGGAAGAGGAAATTCCCGCCTAATAAATTTTGGTCAGACCAGTTGATCTCAAAACCCTGTCTCCTGATAAGATGTTATCAATGACAGTGGTGCCCGAAACTTCATTAGCAATTTTAATTTTGCCTCGGTCCTGTGGTCCTGTGATCTCGCCCTGCCTCCATTTGCCTTGTGATGTTCTATTACCTTGTAAAGTACTTGATGTCTGTGACCCACACCTATTCACACACTCCCTCCCCTTTTGAAAATCCCTAATAAAAACTTGCTTGTTTTTGCGGCTTGTGGGGCATCACAGAACCTACTGACATGTGATGTCTCCCCCAGACGCCTGGCTTTAAAATTTCTCTCTTTTGTACTCTGTCCCTTTATTTCTCAAGCTGGCCGACACTTAGGGAAAATAGAAAAGAACCTACGTGAATATCGGGGCAGGTTCCCCAATACTATTCACAATAGCAATTCTTGGAACCAAGCCAAATGTCCAACAATGTTAGACTGGATTAAGAAAATGTGGCATATATACACCATGGAATACTGTGCAGCCATAAAAAGATGATGAGTTCATGTGCTTTGTAGGGACACGGATGAAACTGGAAACCATCATTCTCAGCAAACTATCACAAGGACAAAAAACCAAACACCACGTGTTCTCACTCATAGGTGGGAATTGAACAATGAGAACACATGGACACAGGAAGGGGAACATCATACACCGGGGCCTGTTGTGGGGTGGGAGGAAGGGGGAGGGATAGCATTAGGAGATATACCTAATGTTAAATGATGAGTTAATGGGTGCAGCACACCAACATGGCACATGTATACATATGTAACTAACCTGCACGTTGTGCACATGTACCCTAAAACTTAAAGTATAATAAAAAAAAGATTTATCATGTATTCTTAACATTTTGTGTGCATATACATACATTGTTTTGTCTTAAATATACTCTTGTAATGTTAGGAAATTTGGAAGATTTTCCGTGTCACTATACACAGTTTTGTTTTGTTTTTTTTTTTTTAGAAACATAGCCTTGCTCTGTTGCCCAGGCTGCAGTGCAGTAGTGTGATCATGATTTACTGTAACCTCGAACTCCTGGGCTCAAGCAATCTTCCCACCTCAGCCTCCCAGGTAGCTAGGACTACAGATGCACATCACCACACCCAGCTAATTAAAAAAAAAAATTTTTTTTTTTTTTTTTTTTTTTTTTAAGAAATGGGGTCTTGCTACATTGCCTAGGCTGGTCTCAAACTTCTGGACTCAAGTGATCCTCCTGCCTTGGCTTCCCAAACTGCTGGGATTACAGGCGTGAGCCACTGTGCCCAGCCTACTTCATTCTTTTGTTTTTGTTGTTGTTGTGTGTTTTTTACCTAGAACCACCTGAATAGTCATTCTTCATTCTTTATAGCTGCACAGTTCCTATTGAATGAATAGGACACCATAATTTATTTAATAATTCCTCTGATAAAGGACATTTCAGTTATTTCTACTTTTTGTTATTACAAAGCAATGCTGCAATGACCATTATGTTAGTCCATTTTTGCGTTGCTTTAAAGGAATGCCTGAGGCTGGTTAATTTATAAAGAAAAAAGTTTATATTTTGGCTCATGGTTCTGCAGGAAGTACATCAAGTGTAGTGCCAGCATCTGCTTCTGGTGAGGCCTCAGGAAGCTTCCAATCGTGGCAGAAGGTGAAATGGAGCCAATGTATCACATGGTGAGAGAGAGACCAAGAGAGAGAAGGATGAGTGCTCTTTCAACTACCAGCTCTTGTATGAACTTATGCAGAGAGAACATACTCATTATCCTGGGGATGGCACCAAGCCATTCATGAGGGATCCACCCCCATGACCCAAACATCTCCCACCAGGCCCCACCTCCAATGCTGGGGATTACATTTCAACATGTGATTTGGGGGGGCCAAACATCCAAACCATAGCAAGCATGCTTCCCAAAAAACAAAATATATATATATATATATATATATATATATATATATATATATATATTCTGTTTTTTTAGGGTTTTTTGTTTTCTTTTGTTTTTATTTTCTTTTTAGAGACAATATCTCACTTTGTCACCCAGGCTGGAGTGTAGCTCACTATAACCTCCAACTCCTAGGTTCAAGCAATCCTCCTGCCTCAGCCTCCCAAGTAGCTGGGACTAAAAGTGCATGCCACTGTACCTGGCTCTGTAAGATTATTTTTTAGTGACTGTTTACTCCACTAGAATGTAAACTTCTTGAGGGCAGGGGCTTTATTTGTTGCCATATCCCCAGTACTTTATTCCTAGTGCCCAGTATATAGTTAAGTGTTTAATAAATACTTGAATGCTTACTACTTTACACCCACCAGATGGACAAGCATGAAGTCTGAGAATACCAAGTGCTGACAAGCACGTAAAGCAAGAGGATTCTTGTATCCCGCTGAGAGCGAAAATTAGTGCATGTGCTTTAAAGAGCAGTGAGATAACTCAAATATGGATATTCTAGCACCAACCATTTTCATTCCTGACACATATTCAATACACTTTCGCACAGGTGCTTTAGGAGAAAGGTACAAGAATTTTATTGTAGCATTCTTTGTATTATATTGCACAAAAGCACTATACAACATTGTACAAAAGCATTGTAGAATTTGGTGTATTTCTCTCTCTCTCCCTCTCTCCACACACGTATCACAGACATTTTTTTTTATTCTGAATCATTTGGGAATAAGTTCACGACATCATGACCAAATAAGAAAGCTGCAGGATTGACATTTACAAAATATTCAAAATATGCAAAACGGTACTATAATATTTATAAATACATACATATATAACAAGCAGAAAGATAGGAATAGGAATAATAAACACTAAATTCAGGCAAGTGGCCGTCTTGGGGACGCAAAAGGAAATGTGTTCAGGAATGAATACCTGGAAGCCTCGCTATCTGGAATATTTTTCTTAAGCTGTGTTGAGGGTACATATTTGTTATTGGCTGTACCTTTTTTGCAAGACATATATTTCAAAATTTTTAAAAGCATTCATTTATTCCTATTTTAATGAGAGTTTTTAAAAATCAGGAATGGGCTGGGTGCAGTGGCTCATGCGTGTAATCCCGACCCTTTGGGAGGCCGAGGTGGGTGGATCACCTGAGGTCAGGAGTTCGAGACCAGCCTGGCCAACAAGGTGAAAACCCATCTCTACTAAAAACACAAAAATTAGCAGGGCGTGGGGGCGCTCCCCTGTAATCCCAGCTACTCGGGAGGCTGAGGCAGAATCGCTTGAACCCAGGAGGCGAAGGTTGCAGTAAATCGAGATCGCGCCACTGCGCTGCAGCCTGGGCGACAGAGTGAGACTCCATCTCAAAAACAGAAAAGAGAAAAGAAAGGGAAAAAAGGGAAGAAAGAAAGGAAGAAAGCAAGCAAGCTCAAGGGTTCTCGGGGTGGGCCATCCCCGAGGCCATCCGCAGATTTTCTCGCACTCTTTGCTCCACCCCCACGTGCAACAAGGACAACCGGCTGCCGCCTCCAGCTTCCAGCAGGGCTAGAAGATGCGCTGCCCGGGGCGGCCAGAGCCCTGCAGAACAAACCGCCGCACGGAATTAGGGGCCGCCGTCCGCGCCTGCCAGGCTTGGAAGCGGACTCGCCCCCAGGGCCACCGCCCTAGGAAACCTCCCGTCGGAAGCCTCCCAAGCAAGCCGCTCACCCGCGGCTCCCGCGCGAGGCGGCGTGGGCGTGGGCGCGGCCCTGGCGCGGCGGCGCGCGCGGGGTGAAGGGAGCCCGGCGCGCTGGCTGCGGCGACGGCGGCCGTTGCTGCGCCGGGTACTGGGGTCGCTGCCTGAGGCGCAGGCGCCGTGGACTCCACCCGCCCCGGGGCCTGGGCTCGCTGTGGACTCGTCATGGCGACCGAGCAGAGGCCTTTCCACCTGGTGGTGTTCGGCGCGTCTGGCTTCACCGGCCAGTTCGTGACCGAGGAGGTGGCCCGGGAGCAGGTGGACCCGGAGCGGAGCTCCCGCCTGCCCTGGGCCGTGGCGGGCCGCTCCCGGGAGAAGCTGCAGCGGGTGCTGGAGAAGGCGGCCCTGAAGCTGGGTACAGCGGCGGGGCGGGACGGGGCTGCGCGGGCGGCTGGGCCGGGGACCCCGCATCGCCCCAAACGAGCGTTTCTCCCGCAGGGATGCGCCCTACGTGTCCCCGAGCCCTGCGTGAGGACAAGAAGAGGAGAGGGAGAGATGTTTCAAATACTGCCATAGCTTTGTCCCACCTCCTTAACTATATGTGTGTGTGCGCGTGCGTGTATAATATACACACACATTTTTTTTTCTTTCCTTCTCCTCTTTCCCGCTTTTTGCATTTCTGCCTCAGTTTGGGGAGCTCCCCTGGCGAAATGGTCAAGAACTTGAGTTGTCCCTCTCTCTGCTTCATCCTGCCCCGCAGCGGGGGCACCTGTTGAATCTGCGGGTTTCTAGATGTTTGGTCGGAGAGGAGAGGAGGGCTTTGGTCTCTTGGAGATCGGAGTCTCCCTTTGCCTCGTGTTTTGAGGACGGGAGAGCAAGCTTACGAGTTGTACTGACAGTGTCTTTGTGGCTATTCTGTTTTAGTTTCTTGTTTTGTGTGTAAGAATACTCCAGCAGTCTTCCTCTTCAGAGAATAAAAAGTGTGTATTTCTGGTTTAGACGCTTACGTATTCTCTAAGCATTCAGGTAGCATGTATTTATTGATAATCTAAGCATTCAGGTAGCATATATTTATTGATAATCTAAGCATTCAGGTAGCATATATTTATTGATTCTCTAAGCATTGAAGGAGCATATATTTATTGAGTGACGTTGTCCATGCTAAGACCTGTCCCGAGTCTGGGGTGCAGGATGGGACAGAGAGGAGACAGACACACGGATCCTGCTGCCTTCATGGCTGGGGAGACATCTGACTTACGACTCCGTAGCCTTTAAATTTGGCTATTAACTCCCGTAGATTTCCCTTATACAGACACCCATTAGAGTTCTGGAAATACTACATTCTTTCTGTTTAATCTACTTTCATACAATGCCCTGCTCGGAGTGCTTTTGTTCGTGGTTATGTACAGAAGACACCACGTAGGCTGGACTCTCCTACAGCTTTTGGTGCTGACACTACCAACACGTAATTCTGACCAAAGAGCTTTTTGGTCGTTATTTTTCCAACAGAAGTAATTTTACTATGAAAATATATGCTTCCATTTCTTTTTTCGGCTCAGCAAGATCGTACCGGTACAGCCTAGTCACTTATCATATATAATGCCCAAATCAAGTTTCATTGTGGGGGGATATACCTTCACCTATTGAAACCTGCATCACTTAGTTGAGCCAGTTAATTCCAATTATTTTCTTATGAGCCTGTGTGTGTTTATATAGCGTGTGCTTTTCACCTCAGAGTTCTAATTTTTTGTTTTTTGTTTGTTTGTTTGCCATTCTCCTGCCTCAGCCTCCTGAGTAGCTGGGACTAGAGGCGCCCGCCACCACGCCCTGCTAATTTTTTTAGTAGAGACGGGGTTTCACCGTGTTAGTGAGGATGGTCTCGATCTGCTGACCTCGTGATCCACCCTTCTCGGCTTTCCAAAGTGCTGGGATTACAGGCGTGAGCCACTGCACCCAGCCCTGATGGTTTTGATGTTAACAGTCAGTCCGAAACTCTCCATCACCTACAATTGGATCATAGTAATTGTTTAGTGGTTGATGAGAAACTTTATTTTTTTAAAGACAAGTTCTCATTCTGCCACCCAGGCTGGAGTACAGTGGCGTGATCACAGCTCACTGCAGCCTTGACCTCTGTGTCTAAGTGATTCTACCGCCTCAGCCTCCTGAGTAGCTGGTACTACAGGCTATGCCACCATGTCAGATAATTTTTTTTTTTTTTTTAGTAGAGACAAGGTCTTGCTATGTTGCCCAAGCTGGTCTGGAACTCCTGAGGTCAAGAGATCCTTGCACCTTGACCTTCCAAAGTGCTGAGCCACTGCCCCTGGCCAAGAAACTATTTTATGACATAAATTTCTTGTTGGAGAGGAAGTCTGGATAGTTATCTGCTCAGCATTTAAACTTGATTGTGAAATTGTCATGTTACACAGGGTTGTTATTTACACAACGCTTTGATTCGATTTTTTTTAAAAGGTCAGTTTTTTAGTAACTCTTAGTGTTAACTCAGTTTTCCTCATAATTTTTTCCTTTTGTATTACCTGATTAAAAACAGTTTTATCTTTTGTCTAAGCAGGAGAGCTAGCTTTCAGCATATCAGTGTATTTAGTAATTTGCTGTCACTGATTACTGTAAAAAGAAGATAAGGAAGATATAATCCTCTACTGGGATTTACTTTCCTTCATTTGTTTCTTATTTTAGGAAGACCAACACTGTCATCTGAAGTTGGAATCATCATCTGTGATATTGCTAATCCAGCCTCGCTTGATGAAATGGCTAAACAGGCAACAGTTGTCCTCAATTGCGTAGGACCAGTAAGTAATCAACCCTTCTTTGTATCAGAACAAACAATCCATTCATTTCTAGCAAAATATTCCAGAGGAACATAAGGACAGAGGACAGAATTGTTGGTTGAAGGCCTTAACCCCATATGGGGAGTTTTTTCTTCTTGCGAGGAGCAGCTGGAGATGACCAAAGTCTCCTGAGAGAGTGAGTGACAGGCTCTCCATGACGTTCTCCTTAGGGCATGTGTGCTGGCTTGTTGATTGGTTACATCTGTGATTGTCAGAATTTTCTTTCCTTTTTACTATATACCCCTTCGGTAAAAAATGTTTGAGTGTGTCTCCCTAGTATATTTTTTATTTATAAATTATATTCTTGTACTACTGGGTAAATATATTTTTTAAATGCACAAAAAGAAGACTAAAAAACGACTCATTTATTGAATAAATATTTATTGATGCTTACCACATGTGAAATGCACTATTGTAGGCACCTGGGACACAATGGTGAACAAAACAGAAAATCCCTCGTGGACATTACGTTCTTGGGGAAGACAGAAAAATAGGATTGTAATAGGAGGTAATGAAAAGTGCTTTGAAGAAAAGTGAAGCCAAGAAAGGAGAAAAGGTCCTGGCATATTGGTGTTTTTAGATGGATGGTCAGGGAAGGTTTCTGTGAGGAATTGACATTTGAGCCAAGATCTGAATGAAATGAGAGCAAATTGCATGAACCTTTTGAGGAGAGACTTTTCCAGGGACAGCAGGCACAAAGGTCCTGAGATGCCAGTGTGCTTGGCAAGACTGAAGAGTGTGACAGAGGCCAGTGTGGCTGGGCATGGCAGAGAGGTGGAGAGTGGATCAGAGAGCAACCCGGGAGCTGGGTCATGTGGGATCTTACGGGCCATGGCCAGGATGTGGATTTTTTTTCCAGGTGTGACCAAGAGGCGTTGAATGGTTGAAAGGAAGGGCTTCAGCTGATTTAAATTGGAAGTTCTTTGGCTTCTGAGTGGAAAAGTAGATAACAAAGGATGAGCAATGGAATGGTGCAAGCACAAGCCCTGGGGTCGTAGTGGTGCTGAGAAGTAGTTAGGTCCAGAGTATATTTTCAAAGGAGAACGGCTTTTGCTGTTGTACTGTGAAAAAGTCATCAAGTCACAGGCCATCAGACTTTTGGCCTGTGTAACAAGGTGAATGTTGGTGACATTTAGTGATCTGAAGAAGCCATCACAGTTGGCAAGATGTTTAAAAATTAAATATCTAAAATATTAATAATTTTTAATTGAGAGCAAAAGGGTTTTTGAATTGCTATTAAATAGAAGTGTTGTTGATTTAGATTCATCTCATTCTTAACTAGCTTAGATTCCATCCATGAGGTCCACTGCTGCACTCTATAATGGACGCCCTCATCTATCTCCCTTGCCTTTTTCTCCTCAGTACTCTGGAAAAATCCCAGCCCTGGTTATTCTCTGCCTGCTCTTCACCTGAACATGAGTAACACAGTGTGGCTGGAGAAAAATGTATCCCCCTGCTAACTGGTCACACTTCAAATATGTGTTTACAAACGTTGTGTGGTGCTTAGCACCTCCGGCAGCTCTGCTCTATTTCCCTCAGGAATTCTCTCTCCTGCTCTCTGAAGCAGCTCACAACCTTGTTTTCCTTGAACTTTTAGTATCCCGTCTCTCTTTCCTTGTTCTTATCTGATTTTATTTTTCTTTTTTTTTAACTATGAAAATAGAAGCTGGTTAATAACAGAATTTCTTTCTTCATCTTCCTACCACCAGATCTATCTACCTACCTACCTGTCTGCCAATCTGCATCATACCCTGTAGTCTGCCATATCTCTTGTTACAAGGAAAAACTGGTCCTCTTCCTATTGGGCACAGTTTTCAAAGACTTTATTATCGGGGGAACCAGCCCCCAGTATTTCAACATAGGTTCTTTTCTATTTTCCCTAAGTGTCAGCCAGTCTGAGAAATAAAGAGAAAGAGTACAAAGAGAAATTTTACAGCTGGGCCTCTGGGGGTGACATCACTTGTTGACAGGTTCCGTGGTGCCCCTTGAGCTGCAAAACCAGCAAGTTTTTATTAGGGATTTCAAAAGGGGAGGGAGTGTACAAATAGGGAGTGGGTCACAGAGATCACATGCTTCAAAAGGCAATACGGTATCACAATGCAAATGGCAGAGCAAGATCACAAGGCCAGGGCAAAATTAGAATTACTGATGAGGTTCCATGTCCCGCTGGGCACGCACTGTCATTGATAAACATCTTAACAGGAAACAGGGTACGAGAGCAGACAACCAGTTTGACTAGAATTTGCCAGACTGGAATTTCCTAATCCTAGCAAGCCTGAGGGTGCTGCAGGAGACCAGGGTGTATTTCATCCCTTATCTTCAACTGCATAAGACAGACACTCCCAGAGCGGCCATTTTAGAGACCTCCCCCTGGGAATGCATTCCTTTCCCAGGGTTATTCCTTGCTGGGAAAAGAATTCAGTGATATTTCTCCTATTCGCTTTCTGCAAGAAGAGAAATATGACTCTCTTCTGCCCAGTCGCGCAGGCAGTCAGACATTATGGTTATCTCCCTTGTTCCCTGAAAATTGCTGTTATCCTCTTCCTTTTTTAGGATGCCCAGATTTCATATTGTTCAAAGACACATGTTTTACAGTTTGTACGGATAACTCAATCATCACAGGGTCCTGAGGCAACATACATCCTCAGCTTACAAAGATGACAGGATTAAGAGATTAAAGACAGGCATAGGAAATTATAACAGTATTGATTGGGGAAGTGATAAATGTCCATGAAATCTTCACAATTTATGTCCAGAGATTGCAGTAAAGACAGGTGTAAGAAATTATAAAAGTATTAATTTGGGGAACTAATAAATGTCCATGAAATCTTCACAGTTTATGTTCTTCTGCCGTGGCTTCAGCTGGTCCCTCTGTTCGGGGTCCCTGACTTCCTGTAACACTTTATGTTTACAATTACACATTATCTTGTTATCAAATTTCTCCTCTTTACTGGATTATTTCAATCAGCATTTAAATATGTGATATCTCCCATATTTTAAAAAAAGCTGCTTGATTCCACATACCCTTCCAACTACTCTACTTTTTGTGCCCCCTTTTTAGCAGCCTCCTTGGAAGAATTCTCATGACTCACTATCTCTGCTTCTTCACCTCCTACTCTATCTTAAACGCCTCCTATTGGGCTTTTGTTTTCCTCCCTCCTCCAATGAAACTACTCTGCTAAAGTCCCACCCTGTCAAATCCAGTCTTCATCTGAAAGCTTGCAGCATTCGATCCAGCTGACCACTTTCTCCTTTCTTTGCTCAGCTTCTACGTTGTCATCTTCTCGTAGTTTTCCTCCTGTCCACCAGCTTCACCCTGGAAGTCCTCGTCTCCTCCACTGCGTCTTTGTCCTCCCCACTCTAAATGCTTGAGGCCTCAGCGTTTAAGCTTTAGAACCTCAATAACCTCATTCAGGCATTAGGTTGCAGTAAAGTGAAAACGACTGAATGAATGAAGAGTGGTGCTGAGGCCCTCTCTGTGTGATGGAAACTTTCCCACAACCCCATCAGGATACCTGCTGTGTCCTGTCTTCAACACATGACCACTTAACATGGCCCAGGGAATGTCTCGTAGTCAGTCCATATAGTAACCGTTAACGGAACGTCATGTTTTTGTAAACATTAACATGGATAAAAGTTCTGATATTTACTTCCACCCTCAGTGGATCATTCTGCGCTTCCCTTAGGGGAAGACTACTTGGGAGACCACTGGGTTAGAAGATGGAACTTTGAGGGCCAGGCGCGGTGGGTCATGCCTGGAATCCCAAACCTCTGGGAGGCTGAGGTGGGCAGATCACTTGAGGTCGGGAGTTTGAGACCAGCCTGGCCAACATGGTGAAACCCTGTCTCTACTAAAAATACAAAAAATTAGCTGGGCATGGTGGTACACACTTGTAATTGCAGCTACTCGGGAGGCTGACGCAAGAGAATCACTTGAATCCGGGAGGCGGAGGTTACAGTGAGCTGAGATTGCGCCATTGTATTCAAGCCTGGGCAGCAAGAATGAAACTCCAGCTCAAAAAGAAAAAAGAAGAAGATGAGACATGGAGAGCAGGATTGCGGTTCTGACCTTTGAGCCAATTGGCCTCACAGGGGAGAAGTGTCTCCCCGAGATGAAGGATTGCTACTCTGACTGTTCACCTGTCTCAGACAAGCACAGGGTACTAAGTGGAGAAAAATCTAGCAAGTTCATAAAATAGGAATAAGTTAGTGAGAAGTCTCAACTCCAGATTACTCAAAGAAGTGGGCCAGATGTGACAAAATGCAGTAAAAGTAAGGAATGGGCAGACTGGCAAATAGGAAAATGCGTTTTCTTTCCAGAAGGAGCTACGATTATTTTAATAAGCTCATTAATACTTCACTGCAGCCTGCCAGTACTCATAGATACACTGCCTAGCTGATGGGCTCACTAGCCAGACATGAGAAGTGAGCCTGTGGCTGTAAGGCAGAGCCTGGAGGAGCTGGGAGTTGGCCCAGCAGAATGAAGGGAGGGTGCTCCAGGTAGTGGAAGCAAGCACACTGGGTGTGAAGAAGCAGCATGCTTGGGGAATTACATGGAATTTAGAACTGCTGGAACATGAGAATTAAGGGGCTGTGGTATGATATGATACTAAGGACTTTCTGTGACATGCTAAGAAATTTGGACTTTGTACTATATACTGTAGGGATTTTTTTGTTTTTGTTATTTTTATTTAAGTTCTAGGGTACATGTGCACAACATGCAGGCTCGTTACATAGGTATACATGTGCCATGCTGGCCTGCTGCACCCATCAACCCGTCATTTACATTAGGTATTTCTCTCAATGCTATCCCTACCCCTGCCCCCCACCCCACGACAGGCCCCAGTGTATGATGTTCCCCACCCTGTGTCCAAGTGTTCTCATTGTTCAGTTCCCACCTGTGAGTGAGATCATGCGGTATTTGGTTTTCTGTCCTTGTGATAGTTTGCTCAGAATGATGGTTTCCAGCTTCATCCATGTCCCTGCAAAGGACATGAACTCATCCTTTTTTATGCCTGTATAGTATTCCATGGTGTATATGTGCCACGTTTTCTTAATCCAGTCTATCAGATTTGAAGAGTGGATATGTTATAGGAGTGAGGCAGGAGGAAAGGTGACATCACATTTTTATTTTAGAATAACAATTTGTTATGTATTTGGAGATGGGGCTAGCTGGCTGCAGTATAACCAGTTAGGGCCTATTTATAGTAAATTAGATGAGTGTTGACAGGGTCTGAACTAAGATATAATTGTGCAGGGGAGAGGAGACTGATTTGAGATAATTTTAGGAAACTGAATTGATAAAACTTGGTGACTTCCAGGATAGGTAGCATGAAAGACTGCTTCCAGATTTTTTTTTTTTTGAGGCGGTTCTTGCTCTGTCACCCAGGCGGAAATGCAGTGGTGCGATCTAGGCTCACTGCAACCTCCACCTCCCGGGTTCAAGCAATTCTCCTGTCTCAGCCTCCTGAGTAGCTGGAACTACAGGCTCATGCCGCCACACCTAGCTAATTTTTATATTTTTAGTCGAGACAGGGTTTTACCAAATTGGTCAGGCTAGTCTTGAACTCCTGACCTCAGGTGATCCACCTGCCTCGGCCTCCCAAAGTGCTGGGATTACAGGCATGAGCCACCACACCCAGCCTGCTTCCAGGTTTTAACCTGAGAATTATGTGGGGAGTAATGCCATTAAATAAAAAAAAGAAGCCATCTGAGTACCATGTGCCTGGCCCCACACTAAGCTCTTTGTATTCTCTTATTTCATCCTCACAACTACCCAGGGAAGTGAGTGTTGTTATTCATCACCATTCTTTGATTGAAGAGGTTGATGCTTAGAGAGGTAAAGTGACTTGCCCAGGGTCACACAGCTAGTGGCTGCAGAGCCTGGATGTAAGTGTGGCCTGACTTAAAGCCCACACTCTAGACCACTCTGCTGTTCAGCCATTTGCTCAGTTTTGTCTCAGAGTCTTCCCTCTTTTGAGCACAACAGAAAGATGTTAGAAGTGGGACCCAGGCAGGCTGAACTAGAGGCTATACTTTGTTTTTTATTTTTATTTTTTTGAGATGGGGGTCTCACTTTGTTGCCCAGGCTGGAGTAGAGTGGCACGAACACAGCTCACTGCTGCCTCAACCTCCTGGGCTCAAGGGATCTTCCAGCCTCAGCCCTGAAAGTAGCTGGGACTATAGACTGGTGCTATCACATCTGGCTAATTTTTGTATTTTTTGTAGAGACAGGGTTTTGCCCTGTTGCCCAGGCTGGTCTCTAGCTCTTGAGCTCAAGTGATTCACTCACCTTGGCCTCCCAAAGTGTTGGGATTACAGACGTGAGCCACTGTGCCTGGCCATGTGTTTATATATATATGCCATATATATATAGTCCTTATATGTATAATATATATATATAATAAGTATATGGCCTCTATATATAGTCCGTAGCATCATATTTTATACACACACACACACACACACACTTTTTTTCTTAGAGAAATGGGGTCTCAAAGCGATCCTTCTGCCTCAGCCTCCCAAAGTGCTGAGATTACAGGTTTGAGCCACCACACCTGGCCTAGAGGCTACACATTGAAGCACGTGCTAGGAAGTGGAGGAGGAGAAATAGGTTTAGAGAGAGAGATGATGAATTCGGTTTTAGACTTGTTGAAATTGAGGTGTCTGCTAGATACCTTGCATCAAGACAGAAAATACAAATAATATACTGTTTGTATATGATGTTTTATAAGTAAGTGAGAAAATCAGGGGGAAGAGAAAATAAAAGGAAAATGTAGGCAAAGTGAAATTAGTTTTATGTGTGACTCATGCTACATGTCCTGTGCTCTCACTGGTCCTGACCTTTCTAACAAAAAACAGAGGGAAATCCTATCAGTGAGCAACTCTAGACATAGAGGTTGGAGGTCACAGCACAGATTTTATTGAAGTTGGGAGAGTAGGTGAGATTTCCTGGGAGAATGTCTGGGGCAGTGATTCTCCATCTTTGAAGTACACAAGAATCACCTGTGAGGCTTATTTACAATGCAAGTTACTGGAGTCTACCTCAGAAAGCCTGATTCTGGGGGTCTGGAGTGGGAGTGAGTGACCAGCATGCAACCCAGGTGATTCTAAAGCAGGTGGACTCATGGCCAACTTGAGAAATTTGGGGGTGAAATAACTTAAGAACAAGGCCGAGAAAGCTCCAAATGAGTTTTAAAATGGATGTGTGCAAACCCTAAGGATCAACCAGGATAATCCACTGGGTGCAGAAAGCATATGGAGCTTCAACTTCTGTTTTAATCTCAACTTTAGTTCTATTTAAATATGTTTAAAATGTGTGTTTTATTCATTTGGTAGGCAATTTAAGTGATTTATAAGTAAATTCATATAGTTAGTAGGTGATGGATTCCAGGTGTGAACTTGGGTCTTACTGCCTTGAAATCCTTTGTTCCATGATACCATACTGCCTCAGAAGTAGAGTTCTTCATTAATTTCATGTGGTTTGTTAATGGGAGGGTAGGAACTCGAATTTCACACACTTCTCCCAGTCCTGTAATTCCAGTGTTATCCGCCATTCTTAGTAAGAGGTGTGAGGTCTTGGAGTTAGGTAAGAGGGCAGCCCATCTGACCTATTTGTAAAGGTCGATTGTGTCTTTTAAGTGTCCCTTGTTCCTCAAAGGCTGGAAGAAAGAAACGATTTCCTTGTTCCATCTTTTGCTGCCAGGAATGAATAAAGCAGAGGAGTTTGTGCTTCTAATCTACTTCTTCACAAAGGAAAAGATTTGTCATGCTTCTTTGGAAATGGGACTGAATTCTGATGTATTAGCTTTTACATATGAAAATTTGTATTTTAATTCCTTGAGTTTGAATAACAGATAATATGGGAAATCTAATATCATACAGGCTCAGAATATCTGCTCTGTTCAGTATCAAACTTATCCTTTGCAAACTCTCTTCTTCCTGTTGGTTTGTTTTTAATTTTGACCAATAATACCACTGGTTCTTGGCCCCCATGTCCAGCCCAGCTAGTCAGGAAATCCAGTCATTTCCACCTTTTTAGTATTGTATGTCTCATCTTTAGTATATCGTCTGTGCTATAAGTCTTATACCACTATCCTGTTTAAAATTCTTCTGGAAAGCCAAGTAAACTAGAAAGGATAAAGTTGAAACTTGTTAGCATGGCACATGTGGTCCTTCCTGATGTGGCCGTAGCCTGCCTTTTCAGACCCATCTCTTTCTACTTCCTACTCAAGTGAATTTGATTCCTGCTTCAAGCAACAGGAACAGCTCCTTTTTCTTAACCTCTGCATTTACTTTTTCCTGTATCTGGATTTTTCTTTTTCCTGGAAAATTTTTATTTGTTCTTTAGGGTTCAACTCAAGGGAATCACTTGTATGAAACTTTTCCTTTTGTCTTCAGGTAGAGGTAAGCATACATTGCTCTGTAATTCCATCATGCCTTTATTTATTCACACTGTGAGAGATGGTATTGTGCAGGTATCTTCTCAGTTTATCTTTTTGTTTCTGAGACGGAGTCTCACTCTGTCGCCCAGGCTGGAGTGCAGTGGCACGATCTTGGCTCACTGTAATCTCCACCTTCCAGGTTCAAACCATTCTCCTGCCTCAGCCTCCCGAGTAGCTGGGATTACAGGTGTGTGCCACCACGCCCGGCTAATTTTTGTATTTTTAGTCGAGATGGGGTTTCACCATGTTGGCCAGGCTGGTCTTGAACTCCTGACCTCAAGTGATCTACCTGCCTCGGCCTCCCAAAGTTCTGGGATTACAGGTGTGAGCCACTGTGCCTGGCCACTTTCTGAATTTATCTTTAGGCTATTTTATTAACAGTTGATTTCTTGATAACTAGGACTGTTTACTTCCAGGATTAGATGGCATTTTATTCATTTAAACTTGTCAAGCAAGAATAACCTCTTTGTTCTTTTTGTTTCCCTAGTATCGGTTTTATGGAGAACCTGTAATAAAAGCATGTATTGAAAATGGAGCCAGTTGTATCGACATCAGTGGAGAACCTCAGGTATAAAAAATAAAAAGGAAAAACGTAGAATTAACACATAAATTTCGGTTTAATGAAGTGGAAATATTTAGTGTAATTTTGCAGACATATTTAGAAGCCGACAACTCCTTTCTAGCATTCAGATATGGTATTCGTGTGGTATTCCATTGATAGCTCAAAGGAGAGCGCTGATGGTAAGGTCTTAGCTTCAGTTTTCTGAATTTTTTCCCTCCCTACAACATCATTTCTTATAGGTCTGTGCTTATTATAGCTACTTCATGCTTTAAACTGAATCAATTAAAATAGCGGACTGTGCATAATTCTTAGAATCTCAATTCTGTCATGTTTTCATTTTGAATTCCCTTTTAAAAATCAGGTACCTTTAGGCCGGGCACGGTGGCTCACACCTGCACTCCCAGCACTTTGGGAGGCCAAGGCGGGCAGATCATGAGGTCAGGAGATCGAGACCATCCTGGCCAACACGGTGAAACCCCATGTCTACTAAAAATACAAAAAGTGAGCCGGGCATGGTGGCGGGCACCTGTCATCCCAGCTTCTTGGGAGGCTGAGGTGGGAGAATGGGGTGAACCTAGGAGGTGGAGCTTGCAGTGAGCCGAGATCACTCCACTGCACTCCAGCCTGCGCCACAGAGCGAGAGCGAGACTCTGTCTCAAAAAAAAAAAGAAAATTCAGTTACCTTTATAACATTACAGAAAAATAAAGGTAAAATTCACTAGTGTAAAATCAACCTAAACATTTTAAATGTTCACATTTATTGAATGCTTACCATATGCCCAACATTGTGCTAAGTGTTTTATGTAACTTTTTAAAAATATACCTATAGGGTAGTTATCTTCCTCCATTTTTTGTAGATGAGGAAATTAAAGCTTAGGAAGCTTAAGTAACTCACTCAGTAATGCACCTAGTAATGCACCTAGTAATGCACCTAGTAAGTAGAAGAACTAGGTCTTCAATTGAGGTTTGCCTGACCACAGGAAGTTATGTGTTAACAGGCATTAAGCTCTACTACAGCCTTTAAAATGGTAACCTCATGTGTCTCTGTAGTAACTACTGATTATCATCATCAGCATGCCAATATGATATTAATATGCATTTGCAGTTTATCAATTGGTAAAATACTGGAAAATACTGAGACAGTGTAAATTACAAAAATTGATTCAAAAAGGAGGAAACAAATTAAAAAAAAAAAAAAGCCCAGGCGAGGTGGCTCACGCCTGTTACCCCAGCACTTTGGGAGGCTAGGTGGGAGGATGACTTGAGCTGGTGAGTTAACAAATTAGCCAGGAGTTGGTAGCACACACCTGTGGTCCCACCTACTCAGGAGAATGAGACAGGAATATCACTTGAGCCTGGGAGGTCAAGGCTGCAATGAGCTATGATCATGCCACTGCACTCCAGCCTGGGCAACATAGTGAGACCCTGTCTCCAAAAAACAAAAACAAAAAACAATTCCCATGTTATTTTAAATAACCCAGAACATAGAAAATGGTGAAAAGCTTTTAAGTCATCTAGAAACTATCATAAAAGTAGTATCGAACCCCCCCCTTTTTTTTTGATACAGGGTCTCTCTCTCTCACCCAGGCTGGAGTGCAGTGCTACGATCTTGGCTCACTGTAACCTCTGCCACCTGGGTTCAAGCGATTCTCCTGCCTCAACCTCCTGAGTAGCTGGGGGTACAGGTGCACACCACCACACCTGACTAATTTTTGTATTTTTAGTAGTGACAGGGTTTCACCGTGTTGGCCAGCTTGGTCTTGAACTCCTGGCCTCAAGTGATCCACCTGCATCGGCCTCCCAGAATGCTGGGATTACAGGCATGAGCCACCACGCCCAGCCATAATATCAAAACCTAATAAGGAGTTGGGCACGTTGGCTCATACCTGTAATCTCAGCACTCTGGGAAGCCAAAGTGGGTGGATCACTTGAGGCCAGGAGTTTGAGGCCAGCCTGGCCAACATGGCGAAACCCCATCTCTACTAAAAATACAAAAATCAGCCAAGCATGGTGGTGCACGTCTGCAATCCCAGCTACTCAGAAGGCTGAGGCATGAGAATCACTTGAACCCAGGAGTTGGAGGTTGCAGTAAGCCAAGATTGCGCCACTGCACTCCAGCCTGGGCAACAGGGTCGGATCCTGTCTCAAAACAACAACAACAAACCTATTAAAGAACCAGAGGGCTGGGTGCGGTGGCTCACACCTGTAATCCCAGTGCTTTGGGAGGCCGAGGCAGGCGGATCACGAGGTCAAGAGATCGAGACCATCTTGGCCAACATGGTGAAACCCCATCTCTATTAAAAATACAAAAGTTAGCTGGGCGTGGTGGTGCACGCCTGTAGTCCCAGCTACTTGGGAGGCTGAGGCAAGAGAATCGCTTGAACCTGGGAGTCGGAGGTTGCAATGAGCCAAGATCATGCCACTGCACTCCAGCCTGGCGACAGAGTGGGACTCCGTCTCAAAAAAAAAAAACCCAGAGTATTTAAAGAACTTTTACAAGACAATAATAGAAATAAAGACAATTTATTTTAAAAATGGGCAGGGGATGTAATCCTAGCACTTTGGGAGGCCGAGGCACGTGGATCACCTGAGGTCAGGAGTTTGAGACCAGCCTGACCAACATGGAGAAACCCTGTCTCCACTAAAAATAGAAAATTAGCTGGGCGTGGTGGCAGGTGCTGTAAACCCAGCTACTCGGGAAGCTGAGGCAGCAGAATCGCTTGAACCCGCGAGGTGGAGGTTGCAGTGAGCCGAGTCTGCACCATCGCACTCCAGCCCGGGCAACAGTGCGAGACTCCGTCTCAAAACAAAACAAAACCAAAAAGGCAGGGATGAGAAGAGACAAATCTTCTTTGTGGAAGAATTCCAAATGATTTATGTAGCTTCTCCACATTTATGTGCAAGCAGCTGTGTGTGTGACTGAGTGTGTTAATGTGTTTGTATGTGTGTGACTATGTTAGTGTGACTTAATGTGTTTGTGTGTGCATGAGCAAGTGTGTGTGTGTGATTGTGTTCGTGTGTGTTTGTGTATGTGCATGAATGGGTGTGTGTGGTGTGTGTTTGTGTCTGGTATGTGCTTGAACAGGTGTGATTGTGTTTGTGTGTCACCTTCTGGGAGAGGGAGCATAAATTGACAGTGGAGAAACCTGGTGAACACTGCCTCAGCCAGGTGTTCAAGTCAGCATTAACCCTGGTAAATCATGTTGACAGTGCGTAGCCCCGATGTGATATGATATGATAAGAATAGCACTTTACCCCTGTGGTCTCTTTCCAAAACTCATAATAATAATGAGAAAAGCATGAGACAAATTCCAGTAGAGGGGCACTCTACAAAATGCCTGACCAGTACTCCTCAAAACCATCAAGGTCATCAGAGACAAGGAAAGTGTGAGAAACCGTCGCAGCCAAAAGAAGCCGAAGGAGACGTAACAACCGAATGTAATCCTGGATGGGATCCTGGAGCAGAAAAAGGGGTTCAGTTAAAACTAAGGGAATCAGAATGAACTGTGAACTTTAGTGAATTAAATCATATATGTCAGTACTGGTTCATTAATTGTAACCACTGTTCATGTAAAAGATGTTAAAAATAGAGAAAACTGGGTTTCAGAGTACTTGGGAACTCTCTACTATTCAATTTTTCTGTAAATCTTAAACTGTTTTTAAAAAGGAATTTCTAAAAACAGGCAGAAGAGCAGAGCAGACATTATTCCCCTGTGCCCTCTGCCACCATCTACTTTCCTGCTCTCTGTCTGTACGTGTGCGGAGCTTTATGTCTGTGATGATGTTCATCTGGGTAATGCTGTTTGGGGTCATTTTTTTTTTGCTTTCTATTTTTTATATTTTAATATTTTATAATAGGCATTACTTTTATATTTAAAAGTCATTCTAAAAAAATTAAGTGTCATACAGTCAGACGAGCACAACTTCTGTACCACCTGGTGTGCAGTAGGCGCTGTATTTGCCGAATAAGTGGAAAATATTTTGACAGTTAATGTTTTGCTGCAGAGCCACACTGCTTAGCATTTTCAAAGTTTGGTTGCTTTGTTTTTAAAGATAAATTATTTAATACTGGTCTACATCTTTCTGCATAACTAATTAAAATTCTTATCCTGGATTTTTTAGTTTCTGGAACTAATGCAACTGAAGTATCATGAGAAAGCTGCAGACAAAGGGGTTTATATCATTGGAAGCAGCGGCTTTGACTCCATTCCAGCAGATCTGGGAGTAATATATACCAGAAATAAAATGAATGGTAATTATTGATCAATAAGCAATAATGGAATTTAACAGTACCGTGCAAAGGCTTCATGTTTCTAACTGTGGTGAACTAAAATCTAGTTGAAAAAAGAAACATAGCCATAAATGGGTAATATTAAACACATGTTTTGTTTTTAATATAGCTGCACTTTTAATAAAATGCTATTGAGACTATTGTTGAGACATGGATAATACTGTATTTTACAGTGATATATTATTGTCTCAGTATAGTTTGGGCTGTAAAATTTCTGGAAAACAACTTTGGCAACGTTATAAATTCAAACTTGCTTTGTTTAGGAATCAGCACATTTTAAAGCATAATTTGTATATTATAGTTAAAAGGTTTTAAATTTTTAACCGTCAAAGCTAGAAAGTATTGAACACAGAATTGGAGACACTTATTTAAGAATGGAGAAAATAATGTTACGATAAAACATTTGAAGTTACTGATGTTTTGCATATTTAAGAGTGTCTGGTTTAGAAAATTACCTGAGCAGGGTGTGGTGGCTTACACCCATAATCTTAGCTACTTGGGAGGTTGAGGCAGCAGGATCTCTCGAGGCCAAGAGTTCAGGACCAGCCTGGGCAACATAGTAAGACTCGTCCCTAAGAAATAAAAAAAAATTAGCCAGGTGTGGTGGTGCACACCTGTAGTCAGTCCCAGCTCCTCAGGAGGCTGAGGTAGGAGGATCACTTGAACCCAGGAGTTTGAGGCTTTAGTAAGCTATGATTGCACCACTGCACTCTAGCCTGGGTTACAGAGTGAGACCTTGTCTCTTAGAAAAAAGCAAAAAAACAAAAAAACAAAAACAAAAAACAAAACTGAAACAGGTAACTTCAGTACCATATAAAGTGTTCTAGACTTAAAAAATTGGAAAATGTTCCAGCATATATTAAAAAGTTAGCATAACTATGAAACCAAAGTCCAACAAAGATAGCACACACACACACAAACTACAAATCTTGCTTATGAAATTAAAAGTAAAAAGAAAATACTATATAAAATTTTAATCCAGTGCCATTTTAAAAAGTTTTTTAAGAGACAGGATCTTGCTCTGCCGTAGCTCACCGTAACGAATGCCTGGGCTCAGGCAGTGCTCCCTCCACAACCTCCTAAGTAGCTAGGACTGCAGGCTTATGCCACCATACTCAACTAATTTTATAAAATTTTTGTAGAGATGAGTTCTCACTATGTTGCCCAGTTTGGTCTTGAACTCCTGGCCTCAGGTGATCCTCCCACCTTGGCCTCGCAGAGTGCTGGGATTACAGACGTGAGCCACCATGCGCAGCTCATCCAGTGGCATTTTAGAAGAACAATATATTGAGACCAAGGTTTAGCATTAGGAAGTTATGCAATTATATCAGAGGTGAACAGCTATATGCCCATCTCAAAAAATGATTTGAAAATTGAGAATTCACACCATTTACTGATTTTACATTTTTAGGAATAGAATAGTTTCCTACATAATAAATGTCAGGGCTGGGCACGGTGGCTCACGCCTGTAATCCCAGCACTTTGGGAGGCCAAGGCAGGTGGATCACCTGAGGTCAGGAGTTTGAGACCAGCCTGGCCAACATGGTGAAACCTTGTCTCTACTAAAAATACAAAAAAATTAGCTGGTCGTGGTGATGTGCAACTGTAATCCCAGCTACTCGGGAGGCTGAGGCAGGAGAATCGCTTGAACCCCGGAGGCGGAGGTTGCAGTGAGCTGAGATCGCGCTGTTGCACTCCAGCCTGGGCGATGGAGACTCCGTCTCAAATGAATGAATGAATGAATGAACGAATGAATGAATGTCAGAAGGCAGTAGCTGTATCATACTTAATGAATGGTGAAACACTAGAACCATTCCAATTAAAAAGTGAAATGTGAATTGAACATCTACAAAATATTCAGTGTTCCAATCCTTAGACCTAATATGTCTCCATTTCTTAAAATAATGCTTTAACGTCTGTGAAGTTTAGAAGTTTTCTTCATGATAATCCTGTTTCTTGAGGTTGTTCTCTGCTTTTATTTTGAATAAGCCTTTTTTTCCTTCATAAGGGAGAAATATTAGTTTAAGGTTTGTTTAAAATTTTTTTCAGATCCTGACACCTAGAAGTCAGCATTTTAGCAAGCACCCCAGCTGATTGTTGATGCAGGTGGTCCACTTTTATTGGATTACCGCTTTAGGTGTTCTGTGTTCTTCTGCGGATCGGGTTAGATCACAGAGCCGCACACCCAGGCCACATTCTTTTAGTAACCATCAGAATCGCTCTAGTGAGTTATACGTTAATGATCTGCTTTTTATTTTTGTCTGTGGTCAGACTAACGACATTTATCTGGCTGTAGTTCTCTTCTGCTGCAACAGCTTTGTTGATGACGTGGTTATTTATTATTTTGCTTGGTGTCAACTTTGTAAGGCCCCATGTTTTAATTTTCTCTTAGAATTAAAACCAGGAACATTGTCTCTTAAGGAATGAATATATTTCATTTATCAGATTTTGAGAATTAGCCAGCCCATTATATTTTTCTTTTGCCTCAATGTTCTTGAGAAACTCAATAATTAAATACTTAACCACTATGCCTGTATATTAGTCTTCATGGGTAATATACTTGATGTCCCCTTTTTCCTGGCTTGGTTTCCAATTTTTATTTTATACTTCTTTTTATTTCATTTTAGTAGTCTTGTTTTGAGTGTTTTATATGCTATCACAGAGGGTGTTTTGATAGTTTTTGTGTACATTCATTGTAAGCCACTGTTAATAAGCCTTTTGAAAGCTGTCATATTTTAAAGCAGAATAATTCCCATGGATCTAACTTCTTCCTTCTTTTGACAAGGTGTTTTTCTGTCACCTAGGCTGGAGTGCAGTGGCGTGATCATGGCTCACTGCAGCCTTGAACTCCTGGGCTCAAGCAGTCCTCTTACCCCAGCTTCCCTAGTAGGGTGGTAGTAGTAGTCCCTAGGACTACAGATACATGCCACTGCAGCTGGCTAATTTTTTTAAAAAAATTGGGGGCCGGGCATGGTGGCTCACGCCTGAAATCCCAGCACTTTCAGAAGCCGAGGTGGGCAGATCACAAGGTCAGGAAATCTAGACCATCCTGGCCAATATGGTGAAACCCCATCTCTACTAAAAATACAAAAATTAGCCGGGCATGGTGGTACGCGCCTGTAATCCCAGCTACTTGGGAGGCTGAGGCATGAGAATCGCTTGATCCCAGGAGGTGGAGGTTGCAGTGAGCCGAGATCACGCCACTGCACTGCACTTCAGCCTGGGAGACAGACTCTGTCTCAAAAAAAAAAAAGAAAGTGACCCTCCTACCTTGACCTCCCAAAATGCTGGGATTATAGGCATGAGCCACCATGCCCAGCCTCATAGATCTATTTGGTAATTGTGTCCTAAAGAGCCTCCCAGAATTCGGGTGAGCTCAATTGTTGCTTTATTGGGGGAGATTCTTACTGTCATCAGTTTTTAAATACTAGAAAAGATTTTGTCACAGTGAAATGTGAATTGAATATCTTCAAAATATTCAGTGTTCCAATCCTTAGACCTAATAGAGATAGAGTTTATGCTAGACTACTCTTTCTGATGGTTTACCTGGCCATAGCTACTTCGTAAGTCTGTGTACAAAAACATAATAAAACTGTTGTCTGTACAAATTTTCTGTGTCAGCTGTAGGCTTAGAAAAGCTAGTCCCTAAGTGAATACGCATTGTTTATTATTACTTACCCCAAATAATTTAGATGTTATTTTATTTTGCTTTTTACCATTCTCCTACTCTTTTAGGTACTTTGACTGCTGTGGAAAGTTTCCTGACTATACATTCAGGACCTGAGGTTGGTTTTTTGGTTTGTCTTGTGTTGTTTCAAGTTAATATTAAAAATATTTTGGAAATGATACATGTGTCTTTTAGGTATGTATAATTTTTAATGTGTGAAAGTCACCATGTTTAATTTTTAAAAAGATACATTGCCAAGATTACTTTGACTTGAAATATACTTTATTTTCTTTTTATTTTATTTTATTTTATTTATTTATTTATTTTTGAGATGGAGTTACGCTCTTGTCGCCCAGGCTGGAGTGCAATGGCATGATCTCGGCTCACTGCAACCTCTGCCTCGTGGGTTCAAGCGATTCTCCTGCCTCAGCCTCCCAAGTAGCTGGGATTACAGGCATGTACCACCACGCCCGGCTATTTTTTTTGTATTTTTAGTAGAGACGGGGTTTCTCCATGTTGGTCAGGCTGGTCTCGAACTCCTGACCTCAGGTGATCCGCCCACCTCAGCCTCCCAAAGTGCTGGGATTACAGGTGTAAGCCACCATGCCTGGCTATTTTATTTTTTTGAGACAGAGTCTCACTCTGTTGCCCAGACTGGAGTGCAGTGGTGTGATCTTGGCTCACTCAATCTCTGCCTCCCGGATTTAAGTGGTTCTCCTGCCTTAGCCGCCTGAGTACCTGGGATTACAGGCATGTGCCGCCACACCTGGCTAATTTTTGTTTTTTTTTTTCTTTTTCAGTAGAGTTGGTATTTTGCCATGTTGGCCAGGCTGGTCTCGAATTCCTGGCCTCAAGTGATCTGCCCACCTTGGCCTCCCAAAGTGCTGGGATTATAGGCGTGAGCCACTGCACCCGGCCCCTAAAATATAATTTCTTTTAAAAACAACTGCACAGTTCATTGTATTAGAATGAATTATCATGATCTCAACACTAAAGCATTTATCACTGGTGCACAGTAAATGTTGTTGGCCAGGAAAATTTTCACCTTAGTGCAAGTCAGCATAGTTTTATCATGCGCCTAACTTAGGTACTGCTGTGACCAAACAGAGGTGTATGAGGTGAATCTAGTCTTACTGAATCTACAGTGCATTTGGGAACGTAAGACATTGACGTTGGGAACGTAAGACATTGACGTTGGGAACGTAAGACAGTTGCATTTCTGGGAAAGGACCATGTTTTATGACAATACTTTTATGCTGATAGTGCCTAACCCAGTTCTAGGTCTGCACTGTGGCTTCAGAAGTATTTGTTCTAAATTATATTCATTCAACAAATATTGTATAGTGGTGCAAATGCATATAGTAACTGTGCAAGAGAAAATGACATGTAAATGAATAAGATGCAAACCCTACCTTTAAAGTGTAATAATTTAGTTTGGCAGGAAAGAAAAAAATGTTTGTTATTAAAGAGATCAGATGAAATACTGTAGGATTCTAAGAATGGCGAATACATCTAACTAAGAGTCCAGAGATCATGAACTTTCTGGAGAAGCTGGGATATAGCTGAATTTCAAGGGCTGGTGCTGTGGAGATGTGAAGGAAGAGGAAATAGTGTATCAAAGACAAAGATGGGGTGGGATGGAACGTGTTTAATAAGAGGAAGTACTTTCTTCATCTCGATTGTGGGTTCAGATTAACGTAAAGAGGTATGTAAAATATGCTAAAATTTGTGGTTACACAGACTCTTTAGTAGAGTATAAGTGTAGTAGGACAAGCCACAGACAAAACCCCTCAGACACCGAGTTAAAGAAGGAAGGGCTGGCCGGGCATGGTGGCTCACGCCTGTAATCCCAGCACTTTGGGAGGCCGAGGCGGGCAGATCACGAGGTCAGGAGATCGAGACCATCCTGGCTAACACGGTGAAACCCCGTCTCTACTAAAAATACAAAAAATTAGCTGGGCGTGGTGGCAGGCACCTGTAGTCCCAGCTACTCAGGAGGCTGAGGCAGGAGAGTGGCGTGAACCCGGGAGGCAGAGTTTGCAGTGAGCCAAGATCGCACCGCTGCACTCCAGCCTGGGCGACAGAGCGAGACTCCATCTCAAAAAAAAAAAAAAAAAAAAAAAAAGAAGGAAGGGCTTTATTTGGCTGGAGCTTCAGCAAGACTCACATCTCCAACAACTGAGCTCCCCGAGTGAGCAATTGCTGTCCCTTTTAAGGGCTTACAACTCTAAGGGGGTCCACGTGAGAGGATCGTGATTGATTGAGCAAGCAGGGGGTACATAACTGGGGGCTGCATGCACCGGCAATCAGAACGGAACAGAACAGGACAGGGATTTTCACAGTGCTTTTCCATACAATGTCTGGAATCTATAGATAACACAACCGGTCAGGTCAAGGGTCAATCTGTAACCAGGCCCAGGACGCGGCGCCGGGCTGTCTGCCTGTGGATTTCATTTCTGCCTTTTAGTTTTTACTTCTTTCTTTGGAGGCAGAAACTGGGCATAAGACAATATTAGGGGTGGTCTCCTCCCTTATAAGAATAAAAAGAAGTGGCTAGGCGCAGTGGCTCACGCCTGTAATCCCAGCACTTTGGGAGGCTGAGGCAGATGGATCACTTGAGGTCAGGAGTTTGAGACCAGCCTGGCCAATATGGTGAAACTCCGTCTCTACTAAAAATACAAAAATTAGCCAGGCATGGTGGCACATTCCTGTAATCCCAGCTACTCGGGTCATGGAGACAGGAGAATTGCTTGAACTTGGGAGGCAGAGGTTGCAGTGAGCCGAGATCGTGCCACTGCACCCCTGCCTGGGTAACAGAGCAAGAGACTGTGTCAAAAATAAAAATAAGTGATAGTGGGCCTGAGTAATTTGGGAATGCGCCATAGAGGCCTTATTGAAATTGGCTTTGAAAAGTGAATAGCATTTGGAAGGTCAAAGGCAGCAACTGGAACAAAGGCTCAGAAACAAGAATGAGAAAAGCATGCTTGGGACCCTTGGTAGCATGTGTTAGAAACCCAGCTTAAACCAACAAAACAAAAAAGAATCTATTGATTCATGTAACCAAATGCCTGAGAGTAAATCATATGGCTGGATCTAGATGTTCAAATGATACTGTCCGAACTCTTTTTTTCCCCTCTTGTTTCTCCCTTTTTGTCTCTTTCTTTTCTTCTGCTTTTCTTTATGTAGGCTCCGGACAGAGCAGGGAAGGTACTGGCATCCCCAAGTATACTTTGTAATAAAGGTTCATGATTTCTTGGGAAGAGCTACCCAGTTTATATGTCAAACAATAGAGAAGATTAGTCATTTTGCTCATTCTTAAGCCAGTTGATGTGACCTGGGGTAATAGAGTGTGAACCCAGAAAATCTGAGACAGGTTTCAGTTAATTAAGAAAGTTAGGCTGGGCACGGTGGCTCATGCCTATAATCCCAGCACTTTGAGGGGCCAAAGCATGTGGGTCACCTGAGGTCAGGAGTTTGAGACCAGCCTGGCTGTTAGAAATAAATTTTCAGTGCCGCAAAAGAAATAGCGCTGAAACATAAAATTTCTCAGCAAGGCAACTTTACTTCTATAGAAGGGTGCATCTCGTGGATGGAGCAATGGTGAGAGCACACCTGAACAAGGGAGGGGAAGGTGTTCTTATCCCTGACACAGGTAGCCCCTACTGCTGTGTCATTCCCCTTTTGGCTAGGGTTGGACTGCAGTCTAAGCTAATTCCGATTGGCTATTTTAAAGAGAGCAGGGGTACGAGGAAGGACAGTTACAGAACAAGTGGCTCAGGATGACTAAGAACAGAGCAGGTGACCAAGGGTGACTAAGATCAGAGCAGGTGATAGAGGCTAGGAGGGGGTTGTTTACTGAAACTAGGGTCAAGGAGACGTAAAGAACGAGGATGTTAAACTTTAAAGAACAAAGAACAGGGGAGCGGAACATAACTGACACATTGGTTCTTTGGAGAGGATCTCAGGACTCATTGTACGTAACAATTTACAGGCTGAAACCTTCGAAGAGGAATTTATTCTATCCTACAATTTCCCCCCTTTCAATTTTCTTGTTATTTCCTCTTCAAACTTTTTTTAACATGTCTTGGCTTTGCTGCTCGACTTTATCCTCTAAAAGAAAAAGCTGATCTGAATAGGGTGGAGGAGAGCTAAGGGAGGTTTTAGTTAGTGCTGCATCTGTAAGTCTTTGACTAGCCCACGGATGCACGGTATGACACAACACCCACCAAGAATGAGTACACCTGTTACAGCTGCAAGAGAAGTAAGAATTGAGGCTGAGTTCTTTCCATTTACCAAACCACCTTTCTAGCCACCCGGAGAAAGGGTTATCGGCTCCAGAATTTTAGCTAGTTCATGGGACAAAGCGGTAAGTCTTTGTAAGGCGCTCGTTGTGCTCCCAGTGGGGGTAGTGTTGTTTGGGATTAAGGTACAACACTGAGTTTCAATCATAACACAAACACCGCCTTTTTTGGCTAATATATCTAGGACCATTCTGTTTTCCCAAGCCATCTGGCTAGTGGGCCCCAATTGTTCTGCTATCCCTTTGACAGTATCCCTGGTGTAATTACTAAACCACTGCTGATTATAATAGATGTAATGTATCCAGTCTTTGTTTTTATTAATTGTCACCTGTAAAAATATTGACTTAAATCCTGCAGCTATTTGATCTCGAGATTTAAATTCATCTGGTTCTCCTCATGGAACTCCAGTAGCGTTTATATAAACATGGGGGTCAAAGGACCCATGTGGGGCACTTCTTTTATGATTTTCTTTTTTATCATGTTGACAGAATGCTAGGGTGGAAGGGATGGCCAACTGGACTAGAGCACAAGTGCTGCTCTAATTACTTGCAGAATACCCAGCAATAGTCCCCCGCAATACCACCACGCACCTGCTCGAGGATGAACAAGGGCAGACTGGTGGGTAAGCTCTGGAAAAGGCTTGGTTTCACTGCACCCTGTTAAGTCTCCAAGGAATGCTAACTTTTCCGTCTGCCGTGAAAGGCACGAGGTGAAGTTAATATCAGGCTGGAGGCCACATGGCCCTCGGGGGCTGACCCACAAGGCTCTTGACCTCAGGGAACAGCAGTGAAAGAGTCTTGCATGACTCATCGCCTCGGCTGTAGGGTTCTGGAAGAGAGCTACCACACAGCTCATGCCCAGTCATGAGAGAACCACCCAGGTGGAAAGGGGACAGTTTGGGTATCTGGCCTGCCTGTTGCACAAGCATAACCGTCGCTTTTGTTTAGCGTGCAAACAGAATATTTTATCCATTCCAGCCAAGCATTTGCATCCAGATACCCTGTTTCAATTGCTGTAGTTTGTTTTAAATCTTTAACCTCTACAGTAGCTACATAGGTTTTATCATTGGGTATATAATGAGAGAAAGTTTGGTTAGTGGAGAACTTAGACGAGGGAGAAGGGGGTGCAGGATGTGAGGAGGCAATGAAGTACATTTCAAAGGATCCTATGGGGTCCTTCCCTGAGACTTCTCCTACACCACAGAAATGGCCTAATGAAGGGGAAGAACTCTGGGGAGCAGCAGTCGTCATCTGTGCTGGATTACATTGGTTCAGCTGACCATGGGGAGGGGAAACTCCTTTAGTAAAATGAATGTATGGTTTTAAGAAGCTGCAAGTACTAGTTGGGGCCGTCCGTCCTTGCTCTTTGGTGTTTTATAGAGCATCGGACAAATTTCGGCAGAGAAGCTCTGCTCTAGGAGGACAAGATTCCCAGTTCATACTGGACTCTTTGTCAAAGTCCTCCCAAACTAACTTATCTCAGTTAACAGATTTCCAGTCTGAGGAGAGCTAGGAAGGATAAAGATACTTTTCTAAAGTGTAGATTTGCCTCTGGTTTGACAAATCTTCACAGGGCATCAGAAGGCAAGCGTCAAAAGTAATGGTTTGGGGTGAACTTGACCTAGTTACACTAGTAAAGAGAGGACTAGCAATAGAAGGGGAAAAGAAAGAGATGCAGTATAGGAGGTTCAAACCCATTTTCGCTTTAGCTTGGTTGGAGTTGGCCCTGGAATAGCTGTCCATGATTCTGGAGGGGGTGGTGCTCTTTGGACCCAGGTGTAATGAGTCCATCCTCTTTCTGCTGTTCGAACCGCGGTCTTGGTGCTTAGAAGCACTAGGTAGGGTCCTTCGAAAGCGGGTTCGAGTTTTCCTTCCCTTTAGCTTTTGACAAGGACACGGTCCTCATGCTAATGTTGGTGTACTGGAAACTCTAGCGGGGGGGTACCTGTGCTGAAAGACCTATAGTTCTGAGGGACGAGAAAGTGGAAGATAAACCAAACATACAATTTCTGAGGAACTGATCTTTTGTTTTGACTGTGGGAATGTCAGCAGTGGAGTGCAAACAGGGCAACCTATACAACACTTCGTAAGGGGATAAGCGAACATCTTTCCGAGGGGCAGTTCAGATTCTAGGCAGGGCAATGGGATGGCAGCTAGTCCATGGCACCCGAGTCTCTAGACTAATTTGGTTAGGTGGCTTTTTTAGAGTTTGGTTCATTCTTTCCACTCTTCCTGATGAAGGTGGGTGCCAGGGAGTATGATATTCCCATGTTATATCCAGTACCTGGGCTAATTTCTTAATGACATGTACAGTGAAATGAGTCCTATTATCTGAGTCAATGCTTTCTATTAATCTAAACCTGGGTATAATATTTTCAACTAATGCCTTGACTACATTACTAGCAGTTGTACTTGAAAAGGGAATAGTTTGTACCCAACGAGTAAGGTGATCTATTATTACTAATAAATACTTTAGACGACCAATTGGAGGCATCTCTGTGTAATGAATCTGGATACTTTGGAATGGCCTTAAGCCTGGACTCCTTCCCCCAAGGGGTAATCTTTTTATAGTTTGTTTATTGGTTTTCTTACATACTGAGCAACTGTCTGTAACCCGTTTGGCCGGGGTATAAATTCCTGTGCACCCATAAACTCTGAGGACTGCGTCACACATGGCGTGGGGCCCCCAGTGGGTCCCTTGACGCAGCTGGAACAACATTTCGCTCATAAGGGGTTTGGATAACATTTCTCTCTGGTCTGGCAGTATCCATTTTCCTTCAGAATTCTCTTTAGCAACTGTTTTTATTAATTTTTTAGACCAAAGAAACCCAAATGCCATTTTATATTTGACAATTAGCAGATCAGCTAAATGTCACCTTTCTATTAGTGTGCTATTAATGTTAAACTCAATTTTAATAAAACCTTTTAGACATATTTATCCAATTTTAATGTCTGACCATAAGTTTTTTATAGACTCTTTTTAACCCTTTATAATTTTTGTTAAAGAACAGGTTAGTACTTTAAGAAAAACCTGTTGTGCTTTTATTTTAATGTCCAGTTTACAGAAACTTTAACCAATATGTTTACACACAGAATTTCCTTTACAATTAACTTTTCAAACCTTGCTTAAACCTTCAAAACAATTTTTAACCTTTTAATGTAGGTAAAAATCCACATTCTTATGCCTCCTTATAATCCTTTTACCAAAAGTATATTTTACTTTCCTTACACACCTTGCACATAAACTGTTTCTTCAATAGTTTTACATTCAGGAGGCCTAATTACTTTTCAATTATATGACATTTCTTGCATAAATTCCCTTTTATAACATTTTTCACGACTTTCACAGACGACCTTTGACATGCCTTAACTTTCTGACTTGTCGTAAATATCCCTTTCTTTAAACAACCAGTTAATTTACTTTAGGACAAGAATTTACCATATAAGATTCTTTTTACATAAATTCTCCTTTTTTTTTTTTTTTGAGATGGAGTCTCGCTCTGTCGCCCAGGCTGGAGTGCAGTGGCGCAGTCTCAGCTCACTGCAAGCTCGCCTCCCGGGTTCATGCCATTCTCCTGCCTCAGCCTCCTGAGTAGCTGGGGCTACAGGCTCCCGCCACCACGCCCGGCTAATTTTTTTTTTTTTGTATTTTTTTAGTAGAGACGGGCTTTCACCGTGTTAGCCAGGATGGTCTCATCTCCTGACCTCATGCTTCACCCGCCTCGGCCTCCCAAAGTGCTGGGATTACAGGCCTGAGCCACCGCGCCCGGCTAATTCTCCTTTTTTTTTAATGTCAAAGATGATAACCATTCTTTTCCAAAGCACACTGCCTTCATGTCTGTGGACTAGACTGCCTGAGGCCACAAGATTAGAAGTTAGGATCATACATGTTAGACTTAACTTTTAGCAAACTTTACTTTTGTTGAAAACCTTGTAAGTTTGGGATTTTAATTATGTGCTAGGTGTAGAGCCTAGGACCTAGACAGAAGTGCAGATGAGGTCTGGCTTCTCCTAGCATTTAACTCCATGTGTCCTAGGTTTTCCCTAGCTGCAAAGCAGGCCAGTTGTACAGCTAAGAAACGGTAGTCTGTTTGGCTATCTGATTAATAGCTCTAAGTTCTTGCACTAACCAGTATGACCCATCTGGCTTCTTTACAGGCAGAATTTGAGTGTTATAGGGAGACATACAGGGTTTAAGCAGCCCGTCACAGAGAAGACCTTCAATTATCAATTGTAGGTTTTAAATTTACCCTCACTTTTAAAGGAATAGGGTATTGCTTTCTCTTTTCTACTTCCCCAGGGGTTTTTAATTTTTTTAATTTAACACGAATCGGAGGAATCTGTAACTTTCCTCGATTCCTGTCTTTTGACCATACCTTGGGATGAATGTGTTCTTTGTCTGCGGTGGGGAGCAAGTTTAGGGAGGGGAGGAATTTTCCCTAATCAATATAGAGGCGTAAGCCAAATTTTAGTACTAAATCTCTCTCTGATAAGTTTGTTCCTGCCTCTGGAATTAACAGAAATTTAATATGAACTGATTTGCTTTTATATATGACTTTTGTTCTTTTTCCCATTTGGGACATTGTCTTTTGAAGTGACCTATTTTTAATTCGAAACATTTGTTTTGTCCTCTTTCTCTCCCTTTGCCTCTTCGTCTGTGTCTCTGTCTCTCTCTCTCTCCGCCTCTCTGTCTCTTTCTCTCTCTTTGCCTCTCTGTCTCTTTCTCTCTCTCTCTTTTTCTTTGACTCTCTCTCTCTCTCTTTCTCTCTCCTTGACTCCTTCTGTTCCCTGTCAGTCTTTCTCCTCTAGGATTTTTTTTCTCTACCTTTGAGTCTCCTGGCTTTACTCTTTCATCCTCTTTATGTTGCCTGGAGAGTGGGGGTCTAGGTTCTTTACAGGTTCTGGCCCCCTGGGTACTTTGTTGTATGGTAGACAGCAGAATTTTTGCTTTCTGCTTTTTTCTTCATCTCTTCTTACATACACTTTTTGGGCTTCTCTTAGAAGCTCTTCTATAGGTTTATCTTTCCAGTTCTCTATCTTTTGTAATTTCTTATTAATATCTGGCCAACTGTTAGTGACAAAATGCAGTTTTAACATTCCCTGCCCAAGAGGATCCTCGAGACCTAGACCAGCATATTTTCTCATTTGTTCCTTTAATCTAAAAAATTTTATAGGTGCTTCATCTTTCCCTTGCTGTACATAAAATGTTTGGGTAAGATTCTGGGATACTGATTCTTTAATCCCCTTTATTATCAATTCCCTAAGGTCCTGCATATTTTCTTGAGGGGCTGCATTGTTATTGTCCCACCTGAGGTTTTGGGCGGGAAATTTTTGATCCGCTGTAGGAACGTTTTGGCCAGAAGGGTGTTCACGTTCCAAGACTCCCATAGCAGTTCGACGGATCGTGGCTCTTTCTTCCCCCGAGAAGAGAGGAAAGGGAAGTTCTGAAAATCCTTTTTACATTGCTCTATCTCACGCTGAAGTCCTTTTAGGGAAGAGGACTTAACGCTCGTAGTGAGTGGGCTCCTGGGACAGTTCCCAGGAGGCAGGGTTATAAGGAGGGGGACAATGGGGATAGGAGAAGGGTCTGGGACAGCAGCTGCTTTTTCTTGTTTTTGGTCCTTTCATTATCCTTCTAGTATTTTAACATGAGACCTAGGGGGCACTCAAGGGGAATATCCTTGTTATCTTTGTCCTTCTTGGTCCCTGTCTTGCTTGGGGTATTTCCCATATTGGGTCCTGGTTAGGCCCCATCTCTCATCTTAGAGATGTGTCTCCTATCCTTTAGCCCCACCTGCTGGAGGCTCCTCGCATTCACACACACTTTCAACCCCCGCAGAGTATCCCGACCACCGAGGAAACGCTTGGCTGCTCCTGTGGTGTTTCTTACCTTGGTCTGTGCACAGAGTTACCTGGTCGCTGCGGTGTGTGATGATCCCTTTCCCCAGGTCGCCAGCCAGTTTCTTTCTGCATTGCTGAGAGTCCGGGTTTATTTGTCACACCCGGTGGGTCTTGATTCCTTACCCCTGAGGCCACTGCAACAAGGCAGCGGGGCATGCCTCCTCATGGGAGAGGACCAGACCCTTCACCAAAGGAGAATGGGAATCCCGGGCGGGCCCCCAAATTTGTTAGAAGTAAATTTTCAGTGCCGCAAAAGAAATAGCACTTGAACATAAATTTTTTCAACTAGGCTGTAGCAGGATAAGCTGCAGACAAAACCCCTCAGACACCAAGTTAAAGAAGGAAGGGCTTTATTCGGCTGGGAGCTTCGGCAAGACTCACGTCTCCAGCAGTCGAGCTCCGCGAGTGAGCAATTCCTGTCCCTTTTAAGGGCTTACAACTCTAAGGGGGTCCGTGTGAGAGGGTCGTGATCCACTGAGCAGACATGTGTCCGTTTCACCTAGGTTATCTAATTTGTTGGCATACACTTTTCATAGTATTCCTTTATACTCCTTTTTATTTCTATAAGGTTGGTAATAATGTTCCCTCTTTTATTCCTGATTTTAGTAGTTTGGGTTTTCTTTCTCTTTTTTTTGGTCTGTCTAGCCAAAATGTGTCAGTTTTGTTGACCTCTTCAAAGAACCAACTTTTAGTTTTGTTGATTTTTTCTATTCTGTTTCATTTATTTCCACAATAGTTTTTATTGTTCCTGGATATGAAATTAATATAAAAATCAGCTGTATTTCTGTATGCCAGCTACAGTTAGAAGGTGATTATTTTTGTAAAAAACACCATTTATGATAGCATTAAATAAATCAAGTACCTAAGAGTAAGTAATAGAAAGTGTACAAGATTTCTTTGAAGAAAACTGTAAACCTTTATTGAGGGACCATAAAGAAGACATAAATTGAAGGATCCAGCGTATTCATGGATTAAAATATGAATCCATTTTGTAGTTAATTTTCTTCAAATTTGTTTATAATCTCATGCAATTCCCATCAAAATCACAAACAGGTTTTTTTGTTTGTTTTGTTTCGATGTGCATCTGGACAAGCTGTTTCTAAAATGTATGTGGAAACTCAAAGGGCTGAGAACAGGCAAGATATTCTTGAAAGAGAATAAGGCAGAAAGACACTCTTGGAGATCAAGACCTGTTATTAAGTCAGCATAAACCCTTGACATATGGTAAAGGGGCTTTTCCTATCATTTTTCTTTTCTTTTTACAAATCCACTTTTACTGGTATTTATTTACTTTTCATTAGTTCAAATCCTTGAGGAGTACAGCATCACAGAGCCGCCGTGACTAGTGGCCTAAGCAGGACGGCTGCTTTGGAATTAGGCACACATTGTGCCACTGTTTCCGTGGGCACACGTTACCTTTCTCCACCTTACTCTGGTTTTGTTTGGTTTGCTGCCAGGAGTCAGTATTATTCTTTGTACACATAAGCGCATTTCCTGCCCAAATCAAATCTCATTTTATGTCAGCCATAAATACCTTCAGTTTTAAGAAGAGCTGTGTCCTCCCTTTGGTTCTGGAGATCCTGCTGACGGCAAAAACGGCCTTGGACCACAGCTTTCCAGGCATACTTGTCATTTAGAATTCCTCCTCCCAGCAGGCCTCCGGGCTTCAAGTTGGCAGGAACAGCAAGGGGGCTTTTCGGTAGATGCTGCTGGGACAATTGAGTATCTACTTGGAGAAAAAATGGAATTGGATTCATACTTTTGCACCCCGTACCAAAATCAAGTTTAGATGGATTGTGGATGCCCTCACGGTTGGGAATGGCTTTTACAAAAAGACAAAGAGGCATTAAATGTAATGAAAAAGTGATACGTTTGTGTACTTTTAAAATTGAGAATGTTTCCCAAAACACACGATTAAGAAAGTCAAAAGGCTAGCTGCAATGTAGGAGTTACTTACAACACGTGGTAAATCCTGACATCACAATTTTGAGCATAAGAAGCCAAACACTCAGTAATAAATCTTGCTTGATTGCATTTCTGTAGAGCTTAGAAACAGGCAAAACTAATTGTACTGTTTAGGGATGAATTCTTAGGTGATTAAACTCTAAAGAAAAGAATTTTTCTTGATTACTGTAAAGGCAGGACGGAAGGAGGGCCTTCTTAGTTGCTGGTTACCTGTAGTTCTTGACCTGGATGTTTACATGTACGTTGGCTTCATAACATACATGAATATACAATTTAATAAAATTGTATTAGGTACGTCTCTATATTTTTCTGTGAAACGCAAATAGTTTTTTAAATTGAATGTAATTTTTTCCTTTTCAATGGCTTAGTTGTATAAGAAAATATGTTTAGATTTTTAAAAAGCTGTTTTCTCCTGGTGTTTGGAATCTTTACATTTGTAGAGATTCACATAGGCCCTTTTGGCTAGGCTCAGATTGAGTAGATAACAAATCAAACCTTTAAGACTTTAGTTCTGTTGTAGTTTTAATAAAACAGAAGAAATAAATCTGTACCAGAATGAAAGTTAGATTTGGTATCTCTGCTTTTCAGTATCATCAAAGCTGAGATAGGAAAACCTGAATCTTTGGATGGTTTTATTGTTTCTCTTATTTTGTTTATTAACAATGAAAGGTACCTTCATATCTGCCTCCCACATATCCCTCTTTGAAAATCTTGTGACAGAATTAGTTTTGAATCTTTCTGAATTACTCTGTTGACCTAAACAATGTAAACAACATAGAAGGAAGGACATAATACAATTATGTACAATCAATATAATAAATGAAGTTTATTCCTGTAATAGAGAATTAAAAGGCCCACCTAGAGGTTGGGAAAGAAAGGTCAGTGCTAGGCCGGGCGCGGTGGCTCATGCCTGCAATCCCAGCACTTTGGGAGGCCAAGGCGGGCGGCTTGCCTGAGGTCAGAAGTTCGAGACCAGCCTGGCCAACATGGTGAAACCCCGTCTTTACTAAAAATACAAAAATTAGCCAGGCATGGTGGTGGGCACCTGTAATCCCAGCTACTCGGGAGGTTGAGACAGGAGAATTGCTTGAACCTAGGAGGCAGAGGTTGCAGTGAGCTGAGATCGTGCCATTGCACTCCCGTCTGGGTGACAAGAGCAAGACTCTGTCTCAAAAAAAAAAAAAAAAAAAAAGGGCCAGCGCTGTGATAGTAAATTCAGAGGTCGTGTCCTCTCCTGGGGTCTCAGCCACTCGTTTCTCGGTGGCGCTAGAGGTAAGGGTTGGGGAAGCTGTAAAGAGTATTGGTAGAATGGAAGGCACTGACAGCCCAAAGTCTCATGAAAGGATGAAAAATCAGTGAATAAATGAGAGTCTGAGTAAGATCAGGCAAATACTAAGGACTCTGTACTGGCTGTGATACCAAAAAGAAATCAAGGGATTGAGGAAAGCAATTAAAATACAAATCATTATTAGTGAACTTTAAATGTTTTAAACAATTATTTTACTAAGACTTCAGTAGGAAGACAGATCTATAACTTGGGGCTAGAGTAAGAGGTGTTGGAGGTAGACGGGGAACCAGGTGTAACAGGATGGAGAGATGGACAGTACACAGTGTATGTATGCATAAATGTGCACACGGACATATCCAGAAATGTTGAGGAATTTGTGTAGGATCGAGAGAGGATTAGGGTGGCTATTCCTGCAGATCATATGGGGCAGAAAAAAAAGGATTAGAGTGGCTGATCTTGAAGGAATATGGTCAATTAGTTGAGTAAAATTGATGAAGTAAAACTAAATAACTTATTACAGAATATAAAGAATGATAGGAGGGGAGAAGAAAGGGCTTCTCGGTGTAAATATTGGGTATGATCAAGCTAATGAATGTGACTGCTCCCTAGCTGGTCATGAAAATTCTCCTCAAGATTATTAAATCAGGGATTATGTCTTGTCCAAATATAAGTGAAATATTGTTTGTAACAATGATAAGTTACTTGGCTTTACATTTTAGTAACTACCCTTTCATGTTTCTTTAACTCTTGAAATATTTTATTAGGGGTTGAGCATTCATGATGGTACCTGGAAGTCAGCAATTTATGGTTTTGGAGATCAGAGTAATTTGAGAAAACTAAGAAATGTATCAAATCTGAAACCTGTCCCGCTCATTGGTCCAAAATTGAAGAGAAGGTAAATTAACTTAAAATCCATTTTTTATATATCTAGTCTAAGTATATTGTTGTTGGGTTGGCTATTAATAAAGTATGTTACTAAGAAAAGCTTGGAGACTAATTTGTAGTAAGTTCAGAATTGTTTTCACAGATAAATAAGATATAATTAATCCATTACCATATGCTTGAGATAAATAAGATATAATTAATCCATTACCATAAGCTTAAGATAAATAAGACATAATTAATCCATTACCATAAGCTTAAGTACTTCGTGTGTAATAAAACATGTGAATCCTAGGAAATAAGTGAATCTTATGATGACTTTTCACTATCAATATAGAAATTAACTGTCAACTAAATTTTATGTGAGAACTTTTTTTCTTTTTTAAAAATTTATTTTAGTTTAGTTTTATACTGCAGGACATATGTGAGAAGTTTAGAGGTAAGAATTTAGGGTTGGGCTGTTGAAAGGAGCGTTCTGGTTTTTTTTTTCTTTTGAGACAGAGTCTCTCTTTGTTGCCCAAGTTGGTCTCAAAGTCCTGGCCTTAAGTGATCCTCCTGCCTCGGCCTCCCAAAGTGCTGGGATTACAGGCATGAGCCACCATGCCCTGCCACTGATTTGCTTATTCAGACATTTACCAGCCAAAGTTGTAATTGCAGGAAATGCAAAATATTCATAGGTCTGTCTTGCAGGTGGCCAATTTCTTATTGTCGGGAACTCAAAGGTTATTCCATTCCTTTTATGGGATCTGATGTGTCTGTTGTAAGGAGGACTCAACGTTACTTGTATGAAAATTTAGAGGAATCACCAGTAAGTATATATGGTTTATTTATCAATAAAGTGTGTGTTACAGTTCCTCTTTCTATTCAGTGTGGGATATTTTTGTTTATAAGGCAGAAAAAGGAAGAGCTAAGTAATACATGTTTCAGCCTCTGGAAATACACAGAATCATTAGGGTAGAACATTTTGTATTTTATAACCTTGTCTTTTGATTCAGATCTGGCTGCTGAATATCTTTTTAATGTAACACAATAGCAGCAAATTCAATACGGGAAATCCTGCTGTCATAAGCACCCCAGAATCCCTGTTTAGGGTTTCAGTTGCTAGAAACTCTTTTGCTTGTGGAAATGTCTGGAACCCTTTCTGTCCCCTCTCTCCTTGCCACGCCTGGAGTTCCATCCTGCTGCTTTTGGCGAGGAAAGTAATTGCTTTCATTGCCGAGACTTCAGGAGGAAATTATATTTCAAGTTAAAAGGTGGAGGGCATTTTCTTATAGGAGTCTACGTTCTGTAATGTATGATTGCTAAGCTCAGATATATTAGGGATTATGTAGATTTTTGTGCCCAAGTAGGGGAAGCTAATTACTATTTATAAACAATTTTCTTTAAAAAGTAGACTATCATACTTCCTGTTCACCAGGTCTGACAAAACAAACAAAAAATAGGCTCCCAATGTCTGGTTTCTGAACAAGATTTCAGAACATAATGCATTTGTAAAGTGGAAACTGCTTTTGTTCCACATTTGTGATGGAAGAGAAAGGTACAAGTAACTAACATTCTTACTTGGTCCAAAATGTAGGGAGTAATGTTCTAACTTTGTCTTCTCCATCATCTAGGTTCAGTATGCTGCGTATGTAACTGTGGGAGGCATCACCTCTGTTATTAAGCTGATGTTTGCAGGACTTTTCTTTTTGTTCTTTGTGAGGTTTGGAATTGGAAGGCAACTTCTCATAAAAGTAAGTAAGATTTTATGAAATTAGATTATTTTTATTAGAAGTATTTTCCATGAGTTTTAAAAAAATATCACTGACGGTTTTTTTTTCCCTTTAGTTCCCATGGTTCTTCTCCTTTGGCTATTTTTCAAAACAAGGCCCAACACAAAAACAGGTAATTTCTTTTGTATTAAGACACTAAAATAATATTTTTCTTTGTGCAATGACGGTATCATCTAACACTTGACAGGGCACTATGTTTCAGATACTCTTTTAAGTTCTTTATGTAAATTAGATTATTCAATCTTTTCAAACACCCCTTGAATGTAGGTATTATTATTATCTCCATTTTACACATCAGAGAACTGAGGCACACAGAGGCTAAGAAACTTGCCCAAGTTTCTCCAGGTAGTACATGGCCCAGCTGGGATGAGAACCCAGCCATTTAGCTCCAGAAATTGTGTTCTCTTCACTTCCAGAAATCTCAAATATTCTTCTTCCTCCATTTTTCTCCTCTGTTATCTTTTCCTTTGTGCCTCCTCTGCCCCCAGTTTCACTTCCTCTTCCACATACCCTGGATTCCGACGGGGGATCAAGTGAATTTCTGTGTGTCCAGCATCCCCAACAATAGGACTGCCTCATTTTCTACCGTTTGGCTTACAGATCCCAACCCTGGCTCAGGCCTTGGGTCATTAGCTTTCATCTCCTTGACACCAGGCACTCCTGGGGGAAATCCCACTGCTGAACAGATGGTAGCAGCAAGTTCCCGTTTCCCCCTCTGTGGAATGTTAGCATCACTTGCTGATTCTTTTCCTTTTCGTTAGTCTTGCCTCTTATCTCCTCTCAGTGGCTTTCTTCAAAATCTACCCAACTGCAGCTGTCTTCCCTATCTGTAAATTATCCCAACTCCTACCTCACTAAAATAATTGAGAGCACTGTTTTGTATCCCCTCAAATTCCTACTCTCAGACCTATCATCATTGTTCCCATCCTGACCTTCTTTCCTCCTCTCTGGATGATATACTCCCTGTACAAGGCTAATCCCCGCCTGTGCACTTAACGTAGCATCATTGTTCCATCCCGACCTTCTTTCCTCCTCTCTGGATGATATGTTCCCTGTACAAGGCTAATCCCCCGCCTGTGCACTTAATGTAGGCACTGTGCAGGAATGCGCCACCACGCCCGGATAATTTTTTTGTATTTTTAGTAGAGACACGGTTTCACCAAGTTGGGCAGGCTGGTCTTGAACTCCTGACCTCGTGATCCACCTGCCTCAGCCTCCCAAAGTGCTGGGATTACAGGCGTGAGCCACTGCGCCCGGCCTCTTTTTTCTTCTTATTGTGGTAAAATACACAAAACATAAAATGTACCATCTTAACCATTTAAAAATGCTGAGTGGTATTAAGTACATTCATCTTTTTGTGCAGCCATCACCACCATCCATGTCCAGAACACTTTTCATCTTGCACAACTGAAACTCTACACCCGTGAAACAATAACTCCTCATTTCCGCCCTCCCCCAGCCCCGGCAACCGCATTCCGCTTTCTGTCTCTATGAATTTGATGACTCCAAGTGCCTCATGTAAATGGAATCAGTCTTTGTCTTTTTGTGACTGGCTTATTTCACCTAGCGTAAGGTCTTCAAGGTTCATCCATATTGTAAGCATGTGTTCGAATTTCTTTAAGGGTGAATGATTGTCTGTTGCCTGTCTGGATCACATTTTGTGTATCCATTCATTCATCAGTGAACACATGTGTTGCCTCCAGCTTTTGGCTATTGCCAGTTATGCTGCTGCGAACATGGGTGTACAGATACCTCTTCAAGACTCTGCTTTAAATTCTTTTGGGCATATACTCAGAAATGGAATGCTAGACCGTATGTGAATTGTATATTTAACTTCTTGAGGAACCACTAAACTGTTCTGCAGAGCTGCTGCACCGTTTTACCTTCCCACAAGCAGTATACGAGAGTTCCAGTTTCTCTGCTTCCAAACCGACATCTGTTATTTTCTGTAATGGCCGTGAGGTGGTGTCTCATTGTATTTTTGATTTGCATTTACCTGATGATTATTAGTGTTGAACATCTTTTCATTTGCAATTATTGGCCATTTGTATGTCTTCTTTGGAGAAAATATTTTCAAATCATATATTTGACAGAAGATTCATATCCAGAAAATATAGAGAACTCCTAGAACTCAATAACAAAAAACAACCTAATTCAAAAATGAACAGAAGGACTTGAAAATATTTTCTGTTATTCTTTGGGTTGCCGTTTTACTTTGTGGATAGTGCAGGCTTCTGTCTCGTGGTTGGTAGTGCAGGCTTCCATCTCTTGCTTGAACTTTTCGTAGCATTCCTACGGTTTCTTTCTAATCTGTCTTCCCACTGCTGTCCAAGAGATCTTTCTAAGACACAAAATCTGACCTTGTCATTGCCTTCTTTATAAAATGTTCCTGGCCCACTGCTTTGGCAGTGATTCTTAACTGAGATTTCATATATCAGAATCATGGCCGGGCGCAGTGGCTCACACCTGTAATCCCAGCACTTTGGGAGGCTGAGGGAGGTGGATCACTTAAGGTCAGGAGTTCAAGACCAGCCTGGCCAACAGGTGAAACTTCATCTCTACTAAAAATACAGAAATTAGCTGGACATGGTGGTGCACGCCTGTAGTCCCAGCTACTCAGGAGGCTGAGGCAGGAGAATTGCTTGAACTCAGGAGGTGGAGCTTGCAGTGAGCTGAGATCACACCACTGCACTCCAGCCTGGGCAACACAGCGAGATTCCTTCTCCAAAAAAAAAAAAAAAAAAAAAGAATCACCTAGGAAGCTTTTTTCACTGACACATGCCCTCATCTTGCTTCTGGACGTTCTGATTCAGTAGGTCTGGAGTGGGGCCTGAAAGCATAGAGCAGTGGTTCCCAACTTTGGAAGAGAACCCAAAACAGATGACCAGAGACTCTGGTTCGGTTGGTCTGGAATGCAGCCTGGGCACTGGGGCTCTCTAAATCTGCCCAGTGATGCTAATGTGCTGCCAGGGTTGAGAATCACCACTGCGGAGGAAGGAAGAAGGTTCCAGATTTGAGTGGTTTTGGTACCCACCCCTGGAGCACAAATGGCCGAAAGTCCATCTTCAGAGATGTGAGGCCATCCTAGACCCTTCATGATCTAGTTCTGGATAGCACATAGGATTCATTTTTCATCCAACTTTGATTAATTGATAGTAGCCACCCAGAGACTATGCTGGGTCGGACAATGTGTGTAGCCTGAGAGAGGATTAGAACCCATTAGTGTGGGCGCCATAGCAGGAGATGGGACAGGTGTGGCATGTGTGTCTGACCTTGTCTGTACCTCTTGAATTGTATGTTCTGGAAAGGCTATGCTACTGCATCCCTTCTTCCCTTTAAATAATGGGTTCTCCTTTCTGGAATCCATCTACTTTTGGGGTTTTAAAACAACCATTAAAATGTGTTTGTGTGTGTGTATATATACAGTTCAGAACCATTGCCCTCTGCCCTGGTAGATTAATAACACCCTCCTCTGAGTTATGCCTGTATGTTTTAGTTCATGTCACATTGTTATTTAATCTGTTTATCTCTCTCTCCCCCCCTTTCCTCCTACTAAACTGTAAGCTCCAGCAAAGGCAGTAATTATGTCTCAGGGCCTCAATGGTATCTGACCCTTAGTTGATACTTCATAAAAATGTGTTGATCATGATTGAATTCTTTATCACCTCATTCCTAAATTTAGTGATTGTGAAAGATGCTAGGATAAGTCCTCAAGAATTTAGTTTTTTGAGTCGAATTTTTACATCTTTAAGTGGAACAATTATATACCTATACTCCAGGCCCATATTTCCATTACTTGCTGGCTATTTTTGTCTTGTCGCCTCAAATAGGTATCTAAAACCAGATTTCTATATTCTGCCCCCCGATAAAAACTATCTCCAGATCATCTTTATTTCCTCCCTATTTCTTACCACTCCCCTTCCCCCCAACATCACGCCAGTCTTCAAAACTGACAGCTTCAAAGAATTAGTTTTCGCTCCCTGCTTAAATGATGACGGGATATTCTGGCAGATAAAATAATGTTTTCATCTATTGACAATGTCTCACTTGAAATAGAATAGTCGGTTTTACTATGTTCCAGGAGGAAATGACGTATTTATGAAATGCGCCCTTTGCCTTCTCCTTCACAGATTGATGCTGCCTCATTCACGCTGACATTCTTTGGTCAAGGATACAGCCAAGGCACTGGTACAGATAAGAACAAACCAAATATCAAAATTTGTACTCAGGTGAAAGGACCAGGTATTTCACATATCACTTAAGAATGCTTGGGAATTTTATACTCTTAAGCTATAAAGTACAATGCCATTACAATATATTCTTTTTAAAGCTTAATTGTTTTAGAAATACATTTGTACAAATTAAGTAACTTAAAATTATTCTGTCAAAGGAAGATTGAAATTATTGATATAATCCAATTTTATTAGTGCATCCCTCCCTCTGGCTGTTTTTGGAGTATGATTCAGTAATTCAGAATGGCAAATTTTAATTAGTATTAATAGGAAAAGGGATTGGTTGATATTCACCTGTTTGAATCTCATATGCAAGTAGTGTAATTATAATGTCAGTCAAATCTGTGCTCTAGGATTTCTTTAGAGTCTCTGAACACCCTGACATTGTTTGTAAAATATGTATGCACACGTGCACTTTTCAAGGGAAGGGAATGGCTTCTGATAGGTTGTTAAAAGAATGTTGCCCAAAACGTTCAAGAACTTTTGCTGTACATTTTACAGAACTATGCAGAGACAGACAGGTCCACTTGTGAACTGTGGTATAATTACTGTCAGAGACAGACAGGTCCACTTGTGAACTGTGGTATAATTACTGTCAGAGACAGACAGGTCCACTTGTGAACTGTAGTATAATTACTGTCAGAGACAGACAGGTCCACTTGTGAACTGTGGTATAATTACTGTCAGAGACAGACAGGTCCACTTGTGAACTGTGGTATAATTACTGTCAGAGACAGACAGGTCCACTTGTGAACTGTGGTATAATTACTGTCAGAGACAGACAGGTCCACTTGTGAACTGTGGTATAATTACTGTCAGAGACAGACAGGTCCACTTGTGAACTGTGGTATAATTACTGTCAGAGACAGACAGGTCCACTTGTGAACTGTAGTATAATTACTGTCAGCCCTTTTAGGTCACAGGCTATAATTTTTTATTGAGACGGGGTCTCACTATGTTGCCTAGGCTGGGCTCAAGCAGTCCTCCTGCCTCAGCCTTCTAAAGGGTTGGGATTACAGGCATGAATTGCCATGCCTGGCCCACGGGGGATTTTAATCAAGCCAGATGATAGTATGTTTCCATCTTGCCCTTTTCTGAAATTCCCACCTGACTTTTTAAGGTAAGTTGACTGTATTTTCATTATTTGACAGGATTATAAATGCTAATGTTCCGTTTGTTTATAAACATTTTTTTAACTTATGTTTAGTCGTTATTCTTTAAGAAAAAATTGAGAGGATTTTTTTGTTGTTTTTAAGTGAAGTGTGTGAATACAGATAGGGATCGGCTCAGTGTACAATAGAGAAACAAAAAACCTAGGATCATTGGCTTCAATGATTGTCAAGAAGCAGTGCAGTGCAGTGGGTGGAGTGTGGACTCTGGAACCAGCTGCCTGGGTGTGATTTTGGCTCAGTCACTACCTGTTAGTTTGGACAAGTCACTTAACCTCTCTCTCTATGGGATAAAAGTAATATTGACCTTAAATAATTGTTATGAAAATTAAATGAGTTTAATAGACCTAAAGCACTTAGTACAGTTCCTAACACTTAATAAATACTTTCGATATGTTATTTTTGTTAAGTGACCAGAGTATCTATTGAAAAAAATCTGCACACCTAGAGTAAGATATAAAATCTACCATTTGATTTTTGATGTTGTTGAATGGGTACTTCATGATTCCTTTCTTTTTCCCTGATCAACTGTTTTCTGCAGAGGCTGGCTATGTGGCTACCCCCATAGCTATGGTTCAGGCAGCCATGACTCTTCTAAGTGATGCTTCTCATCTGCCTAAGGCGTAAGTTTGGTTTTCTTCCAATTAGAAGATCTTTTTTATCTATGTTATATTTTAGCTTATTTTGATTTGATTTTCAGGCTTTGGGTTTGCATGTAAGCATTTATAGTTCAGTTCCTTTGCTTCAAAAATATAGGTAAATTAAAACTGTGAGAAGGACAGCTTCTTACCAGCCCAGAGTTGGTCTCAGAGGAACAACTGTGGAGGTAAATGAGAGGAGACAGAAAAGTTGGAGAGCCATGAGTTAACTTCAGCCCTTTATAAAGATACCTCAAGTCCAGAGTCAGCCACTCAAAAAAGTCCCTGTTGTTAATAGTATTACTAGGAGCTTCCAATCAGTGCCTAACTATACCCAGCTGGCAGTAGTAACCCTGACTGACACCAGCATAAATGGAACCATGGGATCCTGGCTAGATGATTTTCAGACGTACTGTCTTACTGGAGCATTTAGCTGTCCCCCTAAAACTAGGCCAGCTTTTCAAATGAGCAGAGGCCTGCTGCTGAGAAGTAAACCAGGCATGACCTAAAACAGGATTAATAAAAGTAAAATTTGTATATAGTAAAATCTAATTAAATTTTTTCAAATACCTAGGTCCCCCTTGAAAATATTTAGCATTTATGAATGTTAGCTATTATATTTTTAAAAACTTCTTTTTCATCCAATTTAAGTTCTGTTTACACTTTCATAATAATTGATTATCTAAATTTATTCCATTCGGGTCTTTCTTTAATCCCCCTAAGTCTGAGGACTGTCCTTGTAAACAGCAGCGGTTCTTCGGGGTGATGGCGCACAGTGCACCCACCAAACACATGCATAGAATGGAAACAGTATCTCCAGGAACAGAGCCAGTCTAGATAGGGTTGGCTGTGGTGCAAGTTTCTCCTGACTAATAGCTACTTGCTCATTTGGCTGATTTTAGGAAGGAATCAAAGGTAGCCGTGATTACCATGAAGACTTGGGTTTTCAGGGGTTCTGTAGCAATTTGATAGTGAGGCCTGTGAAATAGGAGACTGGAGAGGAGCTGAGTGCACTGTTTTCTCTTGTTATTGTTTTATAGGGGCGGGGTCTTCACACCTGGAGCAGCTTTTTCCAAAACAAAGTTGATTGACAGACTCAACAAACACGGTATTGAGTTTAGTGTTATTAGCAGCTCTGAAGTCTAAACACTGGAAGAATTAACTGAAGTCATAACGTGCGTGAATTAACAGCTTCTCTATTTGATATTTGAAATTCTTCTGTAAGCCTGTCTGAGTGTATGTGGAAACGATTGTCAAATCTAAAATATCTATATATTAAAAAGTAGGAAATTGTCCTAGCTTACCCTAAATTTCAAATCTGAGTTGATTTTGTGATTTTATTGCTTATAACAGAGAACTCATATTTGACATATTTTTTTCATTGATGTGTTCCTGGTAGATTTTCACGAATGAGCTGGCAGGTCTAATGGGGGAGGCGGCGTCCCAGTCTGTGTTGCAGCAGCATTCTCATCGGGGGTGCGCACACCATCGTTACTGTCGGGCAGTAACTGCCGCTTGCCTTGCCGCAGTAGGAGGGAAATCTCACCTTCCTTCCACATACTGTCTTGAGCCTTTGCTAAATTAAACTGCACTTTTTGCTATTTTTGCCTAGTTTTTCGCCAATCTACACTGATTTTGGACTGTTACCTAAGTTGAAAAATAAAAGGTTGTCAATCGAATGGTGGTTTAATGTTTGGACCTGCCGATGTATTTGTATAGTGGTAGAAACATGCTGCTTAAGTGGCCTAACCTGTTTCTTGCCAATAAGTAGGCTTATCATTTTATCTTTACGTAATTCTATATCTGTGACTAGGTTTTTAAGGATACAGCTTATAAGTTGCTATCAATTTTCACTACCTAAGCAGAATTTTTCTCTAATTTACTTTTTGTATTTTAACTAGGTTTTACATGGAAGCCCTAAAATAAGGCAAAAGACTTTTTCTTTTGTAATAAGCATATAATAAACACGTATATACATAGCAATCATGTTGTTCATTACCTAAACAAGACAGCCACTCCTTTATGGAATTTCTACCAAAAAGTGAGGAACATAAAATATTTAGGAATATTATTTGTGTTGGGAGACCCTTCTGCTCTGCCTGTAAGAAGAAGAGGGGGCGGTATCTAACTCAAAGAGGCCTGTAAGGAGAAGTGGGGGAGGGTATCTAACTCAAAGAGGCCTGTAAGAAGAAGCGGGGGGTATCTAACTCGAAGAGGGTGTTCTTGGTGGTAGTATTCCCCACCCTAACTCTGCTTCCTCTGTCCTGGCCTGGTCATCACAAGATACAGATCCTCAGCTGTGCCCTAACTTGTGGGACCTTAGAAAAGGTTTTATCGGCTGTGAAATTAGAAAGCAGTACAGGAGCAATAGAGCCCACGACTAGCTGCACATCTGAATCACGAAACAGTAACAGGTTCCTCCGTGCCTGCAGCAACTTGCGTTCAGGAGGGCGGGAGGTCGAAGCCTCTGTGTTTTTGATATGCATTTGGGAACCGCTGGGTGAAGCTGCATATCCTGTCCCTGTTTCTAGCTTTGCAATGTATGCTCGAGCATTGACTCTGATTCTGAAGGTAGCAGTGTGACCCCATCCTCTGGCTTGAGGTACATGTGTGTCTCATCCTGATTTTCCTTTTAATCCCCCAAGGTTCTGCCTGCTCCCATTTGCTGAAAGTATATGACTCACCTCAGGTGAGTAAACTGCTAATTGTCCAAAATGTTGAGGCTCAGTTCAAGAGACAGAAGCCATTCCTGCTCCCAGTGGCCAGGCCCAGAGGACTGGAGTCTGCCTAGCCTCTACTGTTACGGGGTCTCACTGACAGAGTCTTCCCAGGATTCCGTGATGCCTTTGCTGGCCCTGTCCTGGCTGTCACCACGAGGTGCTCCACGCTTGGGTTCCAGGGTTACAGCAGTTTTTTTAGTTCACTTGTGTATGTGGTCAGGACCTGAGCTGCAAGCAAAACCCATGCCTCCCTTACGAATCCTTGGACCCTGCTCTTAAGCTGAAATCACTAGCCCAGATTCCTTTGTCTTTCTAGAGGTTCCTTTTTGGAGCCCTTGACAGCCTCTCCTGCCAGTGCAGCTTCGGCGTCATCCTATTTGACCTTCCTTAACTTCATATTTTAGGGAGCAAGGATTGAGGTTGTCGCCCCTTATTTTCTCCTTCCTGATTTTTTCTGCATGTCAGCCAGGACTCCCAGGGACAGTCCTGCACCGTCAGGCAGCAGGCCATCACAGTTAGGAATGCAGGCTCTGGCATCAGCCTCTGTGCTTACAGTGGCCTGGGCATGTTACTCAACTTCATCGAATTATTGTGAGAATTAAATGAGCTAACATGTTTAGCACTTGGATTAGTGCCTGGCACATGGTGTAAGCACTTACTAAGTTTCAACGTCATCACTACTGTTGTTATTAGAAGTCTGTCTTTGGGCTGGGCACGGTGGCTCATGCCTGTAATCCTAGGACTTTGGGAGGCCGAGACGGGTGGATCACTTGAGGTCAGGAGTTTGAGACCAGCCTGGCCAACATGGTGAAACCTCGTCTCTACTAAAAATACAAAATTTAGCTGGGCCTGGTGGCGGATGCCTTGTAATCCCAGCTACTCAGGGAGGCTGAGGCAGAGGAATTGCTTGAACCCAGAAGGTAGAGGTTGCAGTGTGCTGAGATCACACCACTGCACTCCAGCCTGGGTGACAGAGCAAGACTCCGTCTCAAAAAAAAAAAAAAAGAAGAAGAAGTAGTAGTAGTTTGTCTTTGGCCACAAAACGTTTCTTTTTTTTTTTTTTTAACTTTTTAAGTTCTGGGGTACATGTGCAGGTTTGTTATATAGGTAAAGTGACATGGGGGTTTGTCGTACAGATTATTTTGTCACCCAGGTATTAAGCCTAGTACCCATTGGTTAGTTTTCCTGACCCTCTCCTTCCACCCACTCTCCACCCTCTGAGAGGCCCCAGTGTTTGGTGTTCTCCTCTATGTGTCCATGTGTTCCCATCACTTAGCTCCCACTTATAAGTGAGAACATGTGGTATTTGGTTTTCTGTTCTTGCATTAGTTTGCAGAGGATAATGACCTCCAGCACCATCCATGTTCCTACAAAAGACATGATCTCATTCTTTTTATGGCTACGTGGCATTCCATGGTGTATATCTACCACATCTTCTTTATCCAGTCTACTATTGATGGACTTTTAGGTTGATTCCATGTCTTTGCTATTGTGAATAGTGCTGCAATGAACATATACATGTGTGTCTTTATAACAGAACAAGTTATATTCCTTTGGGTATCTACCCAGTAATGGGGCTGCTGGGTCAGAAGGTATTTGTTTTTCGGTCTTTGAGGAAGAACCACACCGTTTTCCACAACGGTTGAACTAATTTCCACTTTCACCAACAGTGTGTAAGCATTCCTTTTTCTCTGCAACCTCGCCAGCATCTGTTTTTTGTTTGTTTTTTGAGACGGAGTTTTGCTTTTGTTGCCTGGGCTGGAGTGCAATGGCACGATCTTGGCTCATCACAACCTCTGCCTCCCGGGTTCAAGTGATTCTCCTGCCTCAGCCTCCCAAGTAGTTGGGATTACAGGCATGCACCACCATGCCTGGCTAATTTTGTATTTTTAGTAGAGTTGGAGTTTCTCCATATTAGTCAGGCTGGTCTCGAACTCCTGACCTCAGGTGATCCACCTGCCTCAGCCTCCCAAAGAGCTGGGATTACAGGCGTGAGTTACCGTGTCCAGCCTAGCATCTTTTATTTTTTGACTTTTTAATAATAGCCATTCGGACTGGTGTGAGATGGTGTCTCATTGTGGTTTGGGTTTGCATTTCTCTAATGATCAGTGGTGTTGAGCTTTTTATCATATCCTTGACTAAGACCCATCAGTCAATTTGTGGAATCAAGACTGGCTTCAAGATAGACTAACTCCTAGTAGACTTTTTCACTAACAGTTACAATCCCTGAACCGCAGACTCTACACTGAAAAGGTCCCATCATATGGGCACTCCTGCTGCTGAGAAAATTGAACATAACAGTATTTCAGATAAACCTATGAGAAGATGAAACTAAGTGGAGGTAGAATTCAAACTTGTTCAGAGAAAGATACAAAACGAGAGACGTGAAATAACCATTGTCTGTAGGTCTGACAGCAAGAAATAGAGATAGAAGAGCTTCATTTGAAGTTTTGAACTGTTTACCTTAAAAATATTAATGGTGAATGCTTATCAATCATGTCTGTGTGTCAGGCACTGTTCTAAGTGCTTTATGTTCATTAACCATTTGCAGTAAATACTGTTTTCCTTCCCACAAAACAAGTGAGGAAAGAGAGGCTTAGAGAGGGGAAGTCAGTGGCCCCAAATCCTGCAGTTGATAAGTGATGGACTTAACCAGGATTTAACCCTCGGCAGTCTGATCCCCGAGCTCCGAGTGCTAATCGTTCACCCTCTCCCTCCTCCCACCCTCCAACCTCAAAGAGACCCCAGTGTGTGTGGCTCCCCCTACGCGTCAGGAACATAGGGCCATTCAAGCAGCCTTTAGGTTATAGAGATGATTTACAGTCACATGGAAGGAGAGTTTTGCTTAAAACTGGTAGAAGAAATAGGTAAAGTAAGTGGGAAATGAGGTAAGCTTGCTAGCTACACAAATCATCTTCACAACTCGAAGCTCAAATACCCTCAGTGTTCAGCTGGTGTGTCTTCACTATTTGATGTGCAGTAAATATTCTCGCTTCTTTTTCACTATAAGAGCAACGTCATTTTCAGTGTCCACAAGCTGGATTCACGTAGATCCCCCAAATCCTTAAACATCTGTGACCGTTGGTGTATAAACGGTCGAAGCATTTGATCAACTTCCTAAAAAAAAAGTGAAAAAAATTATAGTGATAGATTTCATGTCATCAGTAAAAAATGTGTGTGTATGAGTGGGGTGCCCACTAAGTTCCCCTTTGGGATAGAAAACTGCTTTTGAAAGCTGCTAGCAGAGGCAGTAAGTCACCTAGGAGCAGTTTTGTTTCGGATGACCCTAAGTTACTGCCAGTAGGGAAAACTGGTGAGATAAGTCAAATATTTTCCACTGGAATGTTACTTCCTTAGTGTTTTAATACTGTCGAAGGAGTATTAAAGGAGTCTTGAGGGGCCAGTGGGTGTAGGGGCTCTCCCATTGGTAGGGTTTTGCCGATGCTTCCCCTAACCTGTGGAGGCAAGTACCCCTGAGAACTAGGGATGCCCTGGGGCAGAGTCCTGGAGACAAGTGTTGGAGGAGATGGTACCGCACTGGCTGAAAATGGGAACGGCAGAGAGCAGGTAGTGTGACGTGATGGAGGAGATGGTACCGCACTCACTGAAAATGGGAACAGCAGAGAGCAGGTAGTGTGACGTGATGGAGGAGATGGTACCGCACTCACTGAAAATGGGAACAGCAGAGAGTGGCACTGGGATTCAGTTTCTATTTCCCTGAGTATTAGTGAAATGCCTGTTCAAATCCTTTGCCGATTTTTTTCGAATGTGCTTTCCAACATATTATCTTTTTTTAAATCTTAAAAGTAATAGTTTATTCTGAATACTAATGCTTGCTAAATAATATTAATATATTTTCCAGGCTGTGGTTTATTTGAAACTTTGTTTAAGGTGTCTTTCATTTAACCAGTTATTCTTTTTTATTGTGAGCTACGTAGAACAGAAAAGTACCCTAAATATATTGACAGGCCTAAAGTGAACACACCTGCTCTAGAGAGCCCACTGCCTGGAACTCCTCCTGTCACCTTCTTCCTGTCCCAGAAGCAACTGCCAGCCTGACTTGTGTGGTCACCATTTTCTTGCCTTTCTCAATAGTTTTGCCACCTAGAGTATATCCCTAAACAGTATATTTTGCCCTCTTTGAATGTTTATAGAATCATGTTGGATGTCATCTTTCGTAACTTGGTTTCCATCACTATTGGAAGACTCTTCTTGTTGCCTGTGGCTGTTGTTCACTTTCATGGCAATGTAGTGTTACACAGCATAGAGGGGCCAAAATTTACCCGTCTTCGGTGAACATGTATTAGGGATGTTTCCAGTTTGGGGCTACTATGGAAGAGGGTTTTATGAACAGCAGTGCACATCAACTAAGATTTCTGTAGTGTTTTTCAACTGGCCCCTCATCTGAACCACAGAACGGAAGTGATTTGAATAACTGTTTTCTCAGTTCTTTCAAGAATGGTGTGTAACTAGTGCCATCCTAGACACATATGACAGAGTTAGCTTATTTCGTATGTCAGATGCCTCAGTGCAGTAGGTTCTCAAACTTGAAGGCAGAATCATGGAGAGGGTTTGTTGAAACACGTGTTACTAGGCCTCACACCCAGAGATTCTGATTCAGTAGGTCTGGGGTGGGGCCCTGGATTTTGCATTTCTGACAAGTTCCTAGATGCTGCTGAAGCTGCTAGGCCATAGGGCACACTTCGAGAATCTCTGCCTGAGGCATTAGGGCTTTAACTCTGCAGAACCAGTTCAGCTGTGAAGGAAGGAAGAGTTGAATTGCAGGCTTCTAGGTTCTAGTATCTTCAACTTTTAATAAGTAAATGCCAAATAATTTTTAAATGGTTGTACCAATTTATACTCCTCTCAGCCATACATGAGAGTTTCTGTTACTTCATATCTTCACCAAAACTTGATATTGTCAAGCTTTTTAATTTTTGCCAGTATGGAAGGTTAATAATGGTATCTCATTGTGGTATCAGTTAGTATTTCCCAAACTATTAATGCGATTAAGCACTTCTCCATATATTTATTGGCATTTTTAATTTCCTCTTTTGTGAAGTTCCTGTTCAAATCTTTTGACCATTTTTTTTTCTATTGGGTTGTCTATTTTTCTTTTTGGTTAGTAGTTCTTTATTTTGGATATTAGTTCATTATATGTTAAACGTGTTGCAAAGAACTTTTCCCATTCCTTCTGGCTTTTTCATTTTGGTGTCTTTTGATGCACCAAAGTTCACCATTTTAATTTAGCTGACTTTATCGGTCTCCCTCTTTAAAGCTAGGGGGGTGTGTGTGTGTGTGTGTGTGTGTGTGTGTGTGTGTGTGTGTGTCATGCATAAGAAATCCTTTTCCACTGTGAGGTCGTAAAGACAGTCTCCTAAAGTATCTTCTGAAAGCATTTGAGGCAGGGCATGGTGGCTTATGCCTGTAATTCCAGCACTTTGGGAGGCTGAGGCGGGAGGATTGCTTGAAGCTAGGAGTTCGAGACCAGCCTGGGCAACATAACAAGAACCCCATCTCTATTTTTAAAATATTTAAATAAATAAATAAAAGCATTAGGGTTGTGCCTTCCACATTTAGCTCTTTAATTCTCACCTGAAATTGATTTCTGGGGTAGTTTTAGATAGGAATCCAGTTTCATTTGTCCCCATACATATTCCTAATTCCCCAGCACTGTTTATTGAAAAGTCCATCCTTGCCACATTGATTTGCAGTTCCACTCGGTTGTATATCAAGTCTGTAGTCCTGAATAAATCTGTTTCTGAGCCTTCTGTTCTTTTTCTTTGGTTATTTATCTATCTTTGGGCCAACACCTTACCTTACTGCCTCTGTTACAGAGGCATTAAAATGAAGTGTTGATATCAGGTAGGGCAAGTCTTTCTGTCTTGTTCTTGGGTCTGGTCTCATCTTGGCTAGTTTTTGCTTTTGCAATTCCATACAAATTGTAGAATTATCTTGTTAGGTTCTATTACACTTGATTGGAATTACAATGACTCTTGGGGAAGAGTTGACAGATGTACAATAACAAATCTTCCAAACCACGGAGAGATGGCAGTTTCTCTATCTATTTATATCCTTTTAAACATCTCTCAAATAAGTTTTAAAATTTTCTCCGTACAACTCTTACATATTTTATGTCAGCTATAGGCCTAAGTATTCCATATATTTGATGCAATTATCAATGGTGTCTTTTATTTTAAAAATAATTTTCTGCTTGCTGCTGTTATATTCAAATACAGTTAATTTTTAAATCTTGATTTTTGTATCTAGCAACTTTGTAATTCATTTACAAATTCTTGGGGATTTTCTGTCTATACAAGCAGGTCATCTGGGATGATACTAGAGGCAGCGCAGTATAGACTGGGGAACAGCACCGGCAGGGTCTGGACCTCAGCGCTGCCACAGATGAGTCATGTGTCTTTAGACACGTTCCATGAACTGTAAAATAAGGTGAATAATAGTACCTGCCTCATAGGGTTGCTGTGAGAATTGAGACAGTAAATGTAAAGCAGGTTGTAAGTGTTACATAAGTGTATGCTATTATTGTAATTACTTTTCTTTCCTTTCCAGTCATACTTTGTATTTCTTTTCCTTACTGCACTGGCTAGAACCTAAAGGACAGAGGTCAAGAAAGCTGGCATCCCTGACCTCCTGATCTGAAAAGAAAAGCTTTCAGTCATTCATCACTAAGCATTTTGTCCACTGTGTGTTTGTCTTAAGATTGCCTTTATCAGATTAAGGAATGTCCATTTTATTCCTAGTTTGCCGAGAATTTTTATTGTCATAGGATGTTTAATTTGGCCACATCTTTTTCTGCATCTGTTGAAGTAATCAAATTATTTTATCTTATAATCTCTTAATATGATGAATTACATTGGGTTTTATAATGATAAACCAAACAGGGTAGTCTGTATATTGCATTGTAAAGTGAGTGGGTATCAGTCGTGCAGTGACCGTGGTAGCGTGGAGCCAGCCGGATGTGCACTCAAATAAAAAGGTCAGAGCAGAGACGGACGGCGGCCTGAGAGGGCAGCAGATTCGCGCTAACAGAGCAGGTCAAGCAGGGCCTCCTCGCCTTGCTCTTCCGCTTCAGCATATACGTCTCCAAGCTCAGGAAATGCAGTTACATCAAATGTCTAAATTGGATGGAAAGAAATTCTGTGTGCTCCCAGGATTCCAGTTCCTTACCGGAGGTTGGTGCCGTCTGAGTCTGAAAAGCTGCCCTCTTGCCGTGTTCATGCTTTGGTAGAACACCTTCAGAGCCTTGGCAAGCTCTCGGTCAGAGCCGGCTTGCTGTGTGCACATTTGGCTCATCTCCCCGGCGGATGGCAGTTGCGCAGTCATCCCGCTGATCTTCAGAGTGTTGGAAGGCTTCGGGGCTGAGGTGGAAAAAGGTAACATTGATTTATGTATCTCTTTCTCTGGGCATCTCTATATTTATTTTGGTGGCATTCTACTGCATCAGCATTTATCAGGCACCAGTTTGGATCCATCCAAGGGAAAGGGGAAATCTCACAGGGCAGAAGAAATGTCCGGCATTTTTTGTTTATGAAAGAAGATACGAATTAACTCATTTAAAAGTTTGTTTCTTAAAAGACAAATACACATCCCAAATGTAGGAGTCTAGGGATAAGCTAAACAGCCAAGACTGGAGCAGTCTCTCACCTTGACCAGAAGCAGTTTTCGCAAGTGATGCTTTGAGAAGCACGTTCTCCTCTCTCAGGGCTCTGTTAATGTTCCTGAGCGGTTCCGTCTCCTGCTCTAGCTTGAGCAGCTTCAGATAAAGTTCTGGTATCTGGTTTGATGCTGCCTACCAGAAAACATGTCAGTTTCGTCTTTTGTTGTATCATCTGCATATCCTTTGAGACTGGCAATGTTTGCTACCATGGGAAAATCAAATGGGATGGGAGTGTGTGTATGGTGAGCAGAGTTTAAGCCCCTCAGGGTACACAGGAGTAAATAAAGAAAACGTTTGTTAAGGGGGAAGGAACGTCAAGCAGCCGTCCTCAGAGATTTTCTAGCCACCTGGGATGCCCACTTTAGTGTCCTATGTACACACCTGGCTTATATCCTTCACAGTGGAAATTTTCTTGGTGTCTACCAGGATGTGGCCTTCACCTGTGACCATGAGGCCCAGCTGAGAGCAGCTCAGCTCGGTGCAGCCTTCTGTAATGGGGAGAGACACAGTCAAAGAAAGAAACATCCCAGTCGCCCAGCTCCAGTGTCAGGTGAGAAGTTGTTAAAGCATGTAACCACCCTGCTGGATGAGAACCCAGAGGCCCAGGGGAAAAGATGGCTCTGGCCCACCGCTGTTAGGACGCTGACTGCCTCGCTCCTCTACCCCTTCTGCAGCCCTGAATGTATGGCATGTCTGATGAAAGAATAAGTAAGCAAGGTACCTTGAAGGCCCCATAGGTCAACAATAAGGGCATTTGTCCGCAAATAATTCAGAAACTCCTGAGATGCAGTTAAGGCTGCAAATTGGACAGTCTCTTCAATTTGTGGATTCACACTTTTCCATACAGGTTTGGTATAGATAGTGTTTGGAAGGTCATAAATTCTGTACCTGAGAAAAACATAAAACATAATTTAAAACCAGAAGGGACACATTTGTAAAGAAAAGGGACAGATGAGCCAAAGATTTACAGCGCATGTGTCAGATAAAAGATGACCTATGATTGATTGTCATGTTTATCACCTCCAACATCTTACTCAACAGGGATATCATCACTAGATAAATAATAATTTTTTTAAAAAGCTCAGGCTGGGCGCAATGGCTCATGCCTGTAATCTCAGCATTTTGGGAGGCTGAGGCAGGCAGATTGCTTGAGCCCAGGAATTTGACACCAGCCTGGGCAACATGGCAAAACACCATCTCTGTAAAAAATACAAAAATTAGGTGGGTGTTATGGTGCATGCCTGTAGTTCCAGCTACTCAGGAGGCTGAGCCCAGGAGGCAGGGGTTGCAGTAAGGTGGGATCGCTCCACTCCACTGCACTCCAGCCTGGGCGACAGAGCGAGACTCTGTCTCAAAAACAAAAAACAAACAAAATGGATTTCAATAAATCCCTTCTACTCAGATAATCAAAAATGGTTAATTTTCTATGTGAGGCGGTGATTTGGTTTTCGTTCTTCAAAGTCTCTATTGCCTTATCTTTATTTATTTATTTATTTATTTATTTTGAGACAGAGTCTCGCTCTGTCACCCAGGCTGGAGTGATCTCGGCTCACTGCAACCTCTCCCTTTGGGGTTCAAGCAATTCTCCTTCCTTAGCCTCCTGAGTAGCTGGGATTACAGGCGTATGCCACTAAGCCTGGCTAATTTTTCTACTTTTAGTAGAGCTGGGGTTTCACCATGTTGACAGGCTGGTCTCAAACTCCTGACCTCAAGTGATGTGCCAGCCTCAGCCTCCCAAAGTGCTGGGATTACAGGCGTGAGCCACCACACCTGGCCTGCCTTATCTTTCAATATCCTTTTAGCCTAATTTGTTTAAGCATATCTGGTGCTTCTGCCATATCATAATACAGTCCTTTTGTTTCCAACTAAAACCTAAAAACTGTTTTGCTTAGATAACATGGTTTTACTGGATATTCTTTCTGATAATTAGAATTTCTGCTTCAGTTCTGTAAAGAGTTCAGTACACACTGACCACAGGCCAGAGACCTGGAGGGACATGTGGCCCCTCTATTAAATAGTTGGGAAATAGTCATCTCAAAGTTAGAGAAACTATGAGGGAAAATAGTCATCTTAAAGTTAAACAGAGAAAGTTCCTCTATTAAATAGAGGAGGAAATAGTCATCTTAAAGTTAAACAGAGAAACTTAAGAAAACTTTATGATAAGCTCATTTTTAAAACTTGAAGAAAGACTGGACTGCCCCCCACAGGGTCCACACGGCAGGTGGCGTGTGTGGCTCTGTTCCGCGGTGCAGGCTGGTACCCTATCTGAGTGCCCCGCTTTGCATCTTCCTTCATCCAGTTGACGCCAAGGCACCGGACAATGTGAATCTGAAAATCCATCCTCTTGCCCAGCAGCTCCAAAGGGTCAATAACCACATCCTCCTCGCCATGCGTTCTACAAACAGAAGAGGTCAACATTGACCTCGGGTTAGGCTGGGTCCAAGCAAGTTAAGATTGTGATGTTAAGGGGGTTAAATAGAATCCTTAAGAGAGAGCTAATTTCACTGTAGACAGGATCAGTAGAGTTCATTCATGCATTCAAGAGACATGTTGAACAAGAGCCCGTTACCCTGGCACGTCAAAGTAAGATCAGGCCTTCTCAAGGATCTCCCTGCCTGGAGGAAAAAGGAAGATAAACAGCGTCATGCAATGGATGCACACAGATGTGGATGCTAAACTTGCATTGAAGATTTAGGCAGGTCCCCAGTGGAACAGAGTGGGAAAGCAGCGGCTGCCCAGATGCAGCCTCTCAGGTTGTCATTTTCCTTTTCCTTTGTTTCTTTATAGTCTAGAGAGAACCCCGTTTCTGCAAGCTCAGAAACGGACTCGGACAGCTTTCCAACAAGGGACTGCTGTCCTATCAACCAGGCTCACAAAGTCTGAAACCTTTCAAATTAAATTCATTAATTTGCAACAAGAAATACAACTTGCTGGGCAGCCCAGAAGCTCGAGGTAGCCAAGTGATCAGAGTAAAGGCAGTGAGTTGTTGGGCAGCTTGGTTTCTTGGTCACGGAACGTTGAGGTTCCCTTCTTGAGCTGATTCTTCAGAAAGATGGAAAGGTTGCACTGAGTGCCTTGGCACCCAGACCAGGCCACCGCCAGCCTCTTGGCTTAGGGTTGCTAAAAGACTTTTGCTTTGTAAAAACTGCCTGTGACAGATGAGTATCCAGAGAGGACAGTTGAGGGTAACGAGGCAACGTTTAGGACAGAGCCAATAGCTCAAAACAAAGCCTGTGCCCACAGAAAGGTCAGGTGACAGCACAGAATGAGGTCAGGCTTCACCGTCCTTACCTCGAGAAAAGGGCTGAGCTGGAAAATCAGCTTCTGCTTCTGGCTCTTGAAGCAGGTTGGGCCCTCAGCATGGGAAAGCGTCCCACGCGGCACATGCCAGGCCCACAGGGCCAGGAGGGGAGTGTGGCTGGGGAGGCGCTGCAACCCACTTGGCTTCTCTCCTGAGGGTCCATTGTTTGGAACCCACCCAGCTCTTTCGGTTTTGTCCAAGGTTCCTTCCACTATACCTGCCTCTGCCAGATGTCCTCCTCATTCCTCAGGTCCCCCAGGGGACAGCAAAAATCACATTCGTTGAGGCCAAATGGTGAATGAATGAGCTCTTTCATTTGTCTTATGAATGACCTGTTCAGGGTACCAAGTTGACCACCCCGTCAGGAGAACTCAGGCCTGCTCTGGATTTTATGTGTGTGACTGACCCAGAAGTAGGCAGGGGGGAGAAGGAGACACTCACTGTCCTGTTGGGGAGCAGGGTGCTATGCAGGTATGCAGCACCGCCTCCTCCAGCCCATCACAGTTCAGAAACTCCACTTGCTCCTCCAGCTTCATGCAGTAGGCCAGCGACTGGAGCCAGATGTGAGCTGAGCCCAAGCGGACGACCTCGACAGGATCCCAGAAAGGGTCGTCATCTCGAGCCACAGGGCCGTGATCTCCATCTAGAAAGCGCTGGTAAAGTTCCTGCATTAGGAATTTCCTATTGATGAACTTGGCTTTTGACCATATCCACACCTGGAAACACAGAGGTAGGTCACCAGTATTTGATTCATCTGCTGCTCTCACAATTCATCACTCTGATTTTCCCAGCATGCTCCCTTCATTGACTGGGTTTGCGGTACGCATGACCACATCCCACTTTCTCCACACCTAGCTTTGCTGACATCAAGAATATCGTATTAATTCCTGGACCTGTTACTTCCCCATTGCTTGAGCCTAGGAAACGATTTAGAGGAGATGATGAAGGGGTTAGAAAACAGATCCTCTCAGGGGAGAAGGTTTGGGGCTTATGGTGTCAGAATGGTCCTCAAAGATGCCCATGTGCTAATCCCCAGAACCTGTGAATATATTACTTTGCATGGCAAACGGAAATTAAGGTTTGTCATCAACTGACCTTAAAATACGGAGATTAGCCTGGAGTATCCAGGTGGCCCCAATGAAATCACAAGGGTCTTCAATATGGCCGAGAGAAGCAGAAGAGAGGGTCAGAGATAGGATAATGCCTGCGGGGTCAGAGAGAGGTTATGTGGCGGCTTTGAAGATGGAGGGAGGTGGCCTCTAAAAGCTGGAAGGGGCCGGGAAACAGATTCTCTTCCTCAGGCCCAGAAAGCAGTACCGCTCTGTCGACACCCTGCTTTTAGCCCAATGAGACCCAATTTGGACTTCTCACGTGTAGAACGATAAGGTAGTAAGTTTGGGTCATTTAATGAGCCTGGTCATTCATGAACAGCAGCCATGGAAGATGATGCGGGGGTAGTTAGTCTGGAGAAGAGCTGAGAAGTGGCTCCCCCGCCATGACTGGAGTGCACACGGGCACACATCCACAAGCACAGGAGACACTCCCCACAGCCTTCCCAGCCCAGCATGGCAGGCATTCTGAGCTCCATTCTGTAGAGACCCAAGCAGGCGTCCTTCCTTGTTCAGGGGTCCACACCCAGTGCACAGCAGATCCAGGACAACAGCCTGCCGCTGTCTTCCTCCTCACTGGGTGAGGACAGGGCCTCTGTCAGCACTGGCTCTGGAGAGGAAACAAACCTGAAGCCACAGGAGGAGGGATTCCAGAGGGATTCCAGGTAGGTCGTTTTTAGACCATAAATATCAGGTAAAACTAGCAACTCCTTTTCTGAGCAACTGGAAAAGCAAAAGCAAAAATCAGCAGACAAGTCGTTCCATGTATGATGTCTCTTCATAAAAAGGACATTCTCAGGACTCTGAAAACAGATTCCATCTTTGTTGGCCTCAAAGTGAAGAACCGTAGTGCTCTCCTAGAGGCGGCACCACCATTAAATAAGAATGTGGGGGGGCGGGCGCGGTGGCTCACGGCTGTAATCCCAGCACTGTGGGAGGCCGAGGCGGGCGGATCACGAGGTCAGGAGATCGAGACCAGCCTGGCTAACAGTGAAACCCCGTCTCTACCAAAAATACAAAAAATTAGCCGGGAGTGCTGGCGGGCACCTGTAGTCCCAGCTACTTGGGAGGCTGAGGCAGGAGAACGCTTTAACCCAGGAGATGGAGCTTGCAGGGAGCCAAGATCGCGCCACTGCACTCCAGCCTGGGTGACAGAGCAAGACTCCATCTCAAAAAAAAAAAAAATATGGGGGCAGCAGGGAACAACAGGAGTTCTAGTCATTGTGGTTTTTCTGTTTGTGTTTTTCTTTTCTTTTTAAGACATGTGATCTTGCTGTGTCACCCAGGCTGGAATGCAGTGGCTCAATCTTAGCTCACTGCAGCCTTGAACTCCTGGGCTCAGGCGGGCCTCCTGCTTCAGCCTCTGAGTAGCTGGACTGCAGGCGTGCGCCTGCACCGGCTTATTCTGTTTTTTTCTTAAAGACTTTAGGGAACTAAGATCATGGGAATCTAAATAATAAATGAATTCACTGCCTCATTACCTCTGGATATCAGACCACAGGCCTGGTGTCAGTTAAAATTGCATGTCATCCTTGGCCTGAGGAGGAAACAGGTCGGCGAGGCTCCAGGATAGGCTGCGAGCCCATGCTGACTCCCGCCTGCTCCCGGGTGGGCTCTGCAGGCCTGGCTCAGAGTTCCCTGGCAGGATGTGCTGCTCACCAGAGCCAACAGCTGTTGGGTGAATACTGCTGAAAGGTAACCGCAAGCTGGCAGCATTTCCAGGTCAAAAAACCCTCCCCAACCCTCACACAGCCCTGGTTTGCTCGTGAGCTTGTCTATGATATGTGACTCCCAACAGCTGCACAACACTGCGTCCTCCCTGAGAGCTGCAGCAGCAGTCACCGTCCACACGGTCAGCAGGGAGGATAGGTAAACACATACAAGATCAACCGCAAAGTAGCATTCGTGTTTCTAGCTGGGACCCACAGCTGTCTCTGCTGCTCTTCTAGTCTTCGGAAGTGCCTGTCTCACATGCACTGCCAACATCTACACACCCTGTCACAAGAGACCCCCAGACCACAGCCTTCCAGACGTCTCCATCTACACACCCTGTCACAAGAGACCCCCAGACCACAGCCTTCCAGAAGCCTCCATCTACACACCGTGTCACAAGAGAGACCCCCAGGCCACAGCCTTCCAGAAGCCTCCATCTACACACCGTGTCACAAGAGACCCCCAGACCACAGCCTTCCAGAAGCCTCCATCTACACACCGTGTCACAAGAGACCCCCAGACCACAGCCTTCCAGAAGCCTCCATCTACACACCGTGTCACAAGAGACCCCCAGACCACAGCCTTCCAGAAGCCTCCATCTACACACCGTGTCACAAGAGACCCCCAGACCACAGCCTTCCAGAAGCCTCCATCTACACACCGTGTCACAAGAGACCCCCAGACCACAGCCTTCCAGAAGCCTCCATCTACACACCGTGTCACAAGAGACCCCCAGACCACAGCCTTCCAGAAGCCTCCATCTACACACCGTGTCACAAGAGACCCTCACACTACAGCCTTCCAGAAGCCTCCATCTACATACCATGTCACAGGAGACCCTCAGACCGCAGCCTTCCAGAAGCCTCCATCTACACACCATGTCACAAGAGACCCTCAGACTACAGCCTTCCAGAAGCCTCCATCTACATACCATGTCACAGGAGACTCTCAGGCTGCAGCCTCCCAGAAGCCTCCTGAGGAAAGCAGGGCTTCATCTGAAGACAGGTCACTGGCACTAAGCTTACTTGTTTTTTTGAGACAGGGTCTCTGTCTGTCGCCCAGGCTGGAGAATAGTGGTGTGATCACGGCTCACTGTAGCCTCGACCTCCTCAGGCTCAGGTGATTCTCCTACCTCAGCCTCCCCAGTAGCAGGGACTACAGGTGCTCACCACCATACTCAGCTAATTTTGTATTTTTTGTAGAGACGGGGTTTCACCATGTTGCCCAAGCTGGTCTCAAACTCCTGAGCTCAAGCCATCCACCCACCTCGGCCTCCCCAAATCCTGGGATTACAGATGCGAACTACCGTGCTGGGCCTAATCTTACTGTTTTAATGTAAAAATGGACAGTCTTGAGGAAGACAGATTGGTAAGATTCATATCTTCATGAGAAAAAAAATAGAAAAAAAAAAAAACAAACTGTACGACCCCCTTAAAAGAGAACCTGGTATGTTTAAGCAGAAGCAGTCCTATCAGACAGCTACCTGTCCCAGTGACAGGATGCTGGGCTGAAGGAAAATGAGGGCATGAATCCAGGCCCTCAGCCCTCCCATACAATTCTCCCAATGATAAGTGTGAGAACACCGTCTCCTGTTCTGTTTCTGGTAATGACAGGCAGGTGCTCATGAGTGTCTTCGTGTGCACTCAATAACCCTTCTGTTAGCAACAGTTTAAAAGGCTATTTTTCGAACTACCTTGGACTATAATACAAAATAGAATAGCATGGAAAATGGTTTTTTAGAATTACAAATTTTCTTAAAACAAGGTCTGACAAGACAGGAAACTGCCAAGCCAAATTCTAGGGGAAAGCCTGGCCCGAAAGAGGCACGTGGAATATCGGGGCACCAGAGCCACTTTGCCCCAGTGGCCTTTGCTGGAAAAAAAAGAAAAATGCAAAGTACAAACACACTGAGGGGTCCCCTCCAAGGCCTCACGGAACATGGCAGAGAAGTCCATGCTGACTCCCTAGGGTGAGGGTCTCACGGGAGACCCTGTCTGCATCACACAGACCTGCAGGAAAGGGGCCGGTCTCTGAGGAGCTGGGCTCCAGGAGGATCCTTGCTTGGTTTCCTCCCTGGGGCAGCATCTTGGCAGCCCCAGCACCTGGAGGGCGAAACCCCGTGGACGGGGTGGTGGATGCAGTGCACAGGTGCTGACCACATGGGACGCACACACATGCTTATAGTCTTAGCTCATTTCACAATTTTTAAAAGCTTTACAAAAATCGGTCTCGGCCCAGAACATTTTGGCAATTTTCGGGCGATGAGCAGATGAGCAGAAAAGTGAAACTCAGAGAAGCTTCAATTGCTGAGCAGGGAGGGAGCAGCCCGGGGTGGGGGCCGGAGGCGCAGTCTGGAAAGGCAACGGGTGAGTGTGCTGGAGCCGGAAGCCTGAGGGCTGCTCCTCCAGGGGCCTGATATGCACAAGGGGTGCTGCAAGATGGGCCTGCATTTCTGTTTCCTCCTTTGGAGGCAGAGGGAGAGGAAACAGGGTCTTAAGTTTCTAAAATGGAATTTCCTGATAGTAAGGTCCAGCCAGTGGAGTTGGTGAAACAGCCTTTTCTGGAGTCCCTAGGAGGATTGCTTTTCTCATTGCTGCAGAAAGGCAGTCTGTGTTCTCACGGGCACATGTACACACAAACACACACTTGCACACACACACACGCACCTACGTGCATGGACAGACACCACTACCACTTGTATAAACTCCCAGGCTCCCTTCTGGTACAAAAGCCTTTGAGTCATACTCAGCATGAACAGATGCTCAGTGCAGGCTAGCTTAGGAACGCTCCCAGGAGCTGGTGCTGTGAGGGAGGGTGCAGGACAGGGAATGGCTGGTGCTGGGAGGGAGGACCCAGGACAGGGAACGGGAGAGTGGATCCCCCTGTTCCCCAGAGCTCCAGCTCATACTTGGAATACGTTTTGCCCTTGACTGGGTCTCCGGAGGCTGCAGCTGGTAAAGATAACCTGTGTCCCCATGGATCCTCACCTCCTGGGTCCCGTCCCCGTGGATCCTCACCTCCTGAGTCCCGTCCCCGTGCGGCCTCACCTCCTGAGTCCCGTCCCCATGGATCTTCACCTCCTGAGTCCCTTCCCCGTGGATCCTCACCTCCTGAGTCCCTTCCCCATGGATCTTCACCTCCTGAGTCCCGTCCCCATGGATCTTCACCTCCTGAGTCCCTTCCCCGTGGATCCTCACCTCCTGAGTCCCGTCCCCATGGATCTTCACCTCCTGAGTCCCGTCCCCGTGGATCCTCACCTCCTGAGTCCCATCCCCATGGATCCTCACCTCCTGAGTCCCATCCCTGTGGGGCCTCACCTCGTGAGACCCGTGGTGGGTCACCTTCACCAAGACCTCCTTCTGTAGGTCATAGCCCCTGGAATCTGACGATGCCAAATTTTTCACCTTCAATTCCATGTTAAGTCCCTGGTAAAAGAAACACTTCTCACTAAATAATTGTACATTCTGCTGGGCACAGTCCCTCATGCCTGTAATCCCAGCACTTTGGGAGGCTGAGGCGAGTGGATCGCTTGAGCCCAGGAGTTCAAGACCAGCCTGGGCAACATAGCAAAACCCCATCTCTACTAAAAATACAAAAATTAGCCAGGCATGGAAGTGCACACCTGTAATCCCAGCTACTTGGGAGGCAGAGGTGGGAGGATCACTTGAACCCGGGAAGTGGAGGTTGCAGTAAACCATGATTGCACCACTGCATTCCAGCCTGGGCGGCAGATTGAGACCCTGTCAAAAAGAAAAAAAAAATCCTACATTCACAGCTCATACCACCTTTGCAATTTATTTTTCATTCTCCCACCCTCGGGCTTCCTAAATGATGAATGAATAAGACTCTCTCTAAGATGTCCCACTCTTGCCCCTTGGATTTCCCACTAAGAGGAAAGACAGAGCACCAGATTTTCTCCATTATATCCTGGAACTAACACTTGGAGTCCCTACCAAATTGATTAAATCTCTTACAAGGTTCCGGCCGATGGGAGCTCACGTCTCCAGGGAGCTGTCCCCAGCCCAGGTGGTCTGTGTGGCACAGCAGCCATCAGGGTGCCTAGACCCGGAGAGGCCCCAGGACCATCTGGGAGGGCCTGCTCATGGCCAGCAAGAGTTGGTCTGGGATCCCGGTGGCCCTGGTAGGCTGTTGGTGAAAGGAATGGTACTCGGGCCTGGGCTGGGCAGTCTGGCTTCTGTGGCTAGTTCCCTGAGAGTCCCTGGGAACGCACCCCTGCCCCACAAGGCCTTGAGGTCCTTTCTGCACCTGGCACACCAGCTCCTGGCTCCAGCTAACTTACCTTCTTTGGCTCTTCACTCATTTGATTTGCTTCTGAACCAGCGGCATCAGTTTGATGTAGTCCTGGAACGCAGCCAGGACACTGGGGCCCGCCTTGCCGTCTCCACCGTCCGCAGCACCTGGCAACAATCACAGTGGAGGCGAAAGTCAGTCACTTGTTCCGCCATGAAGAATTTTTTTTTTTTTTTTTTTTTGAAATAGAGTTTCACTCTCGTTGCCCAGGCTGGAGTGCAGTGGCGCCATCTCGGCTCGCTGCAACCTCTGCCTCCCAAGTTGAAGCAATTCTCCTGCCTCAGCCTCCTGAGTAGCTGGGATTACAGGTGCGCACTACCACACCCGGCTAATTTTTGTATTTTTAGTAGAGATGGGGTTTCACTATGTTGGCCAGGCTGGTCTCGAACTCCTGACCTCAGGTGATCTGCCCACCTCGGCCTCCAAAAGTGCTGGAATTACAGGCGTACAGGCATGAGCCACCATGCCAAGCCCTTTTTCTTTTTTTTTTAGACAGCTGTCTTGCTCTGTCGTCCAGGCTAGCGTTCAGTGGCATGATCTCTGCTCATTGCAGCCTCCACCTCCCAGACTCAAGCAATCCTCCCATCTCAGCCTGCTGAGTACCTGGGACTACGGGTGCAAGCCACCATGCCTGGCTAATTTTTAAAATATTTTGTAGAGATGAGGTCTCACTTTGTTTCCCAGGCTGGTCTTGAACTCCCAGGTTCAAGCGATCCTCCTGCCTTGGCCTCTCAAAGTGCTAGGATTACAGGCATGAGACACCACGCCCAGCCGCCATGAATAAATGTGTATGCTTATTTGTTCATTCATTTGTTCAGCTGTTCATCAAATATCTACATTTTAAAATTACAAGCATGTAATTTAAAAACAAACAAGGGAAAATGACACTGCCTGGCTTCTCCTTACGTGGTTGCTTATCTCGACCCATGAATCCTGGCCGCAGGCAGGAGGTCCTCTGCCCCCAGTTCCCATTCTTGGTCTCAGGGTCCTTGACCCAAGGTGGCTCCAGACTGGAGGAGGGTGGGGCGAGGTGAAACATGGCTGGCTAGACGGAAGGCCTGGAGGTATCCTCAAGCTGCTGCTGGCACAGCAAGTGACCTGTGCTTCTCTTATACTTGGGGTGGCTTGAAGGAGGGGCTCGTGGAGATTATGGGAGGATCAATCTCCCTCCCAAACCCAGGCTGGTACTGCCTCTAATCAGGAAATCTCAACTCTTAGAGACCCCTGGCCTGTGGGTGCACACAGTGCCCTTGGCCCTGAGGTCTGACCCCAAACTGCTCACACAGCTGCTGCCTTGTTGGGGACCCAAGTCTTCCCTAGGGTCCGAGCCAGGGTCTGGGGCTGGTTCAGCTTCATGGCGCCACCAGGGCCACAGGGGCAGTGGCACGGTCAACCTCTGAGGACAGGTCAATGAACAGATGGCTTTTCCGGGCCTGGTATGACAGAGTCTTACTGGTTCGTTGTTTTGTTTTGTTTTGTTTTGTTTTGAAATGGAGTCTCGCTCTGTCACCCAGGCTGGAGTGCTGTGGCACGATCTCAGCTCACTGCAACCTCCTCCTCCCAGGTTCAGGCAATTCTCCTGCCTCAGCCTCCTGAGTAGCTGGGACTACAGGTGTGTGCCATCACATCCGGCTACTTTTTTGTATTTTTAGTAGAGACGGGGTTTCACTGTGTTAGCCAGGATGGTCTCGATCTCCTGACCTCGTGATCTGCCCGCCTCGGCCTCTCAAAGGGCTGGGATTACAGGCGTGAGCCACCGCGCCCGGCCTTGTTCATTTTTAAAAGTCGAAAACTTCAGCAGAAGAAGAGCAAGGAGGTGAATTTCTAATCGATTTATTTTGCTGAAATTCTGAGAGAAACACTGTGGTGTGGGGACAGGGAGGAGCTCTTGCACACACACAGGTGGATCTGCCCACTTTCCACCAGCGGTTTCATTACTGCGAGTTCAGGCAGAGTCCCGGTGCCGAGCAAAGCGTGGGGCCCCTCCGGGAAGCCCGCAGGTCACTCAGATCGCAGCGGGCTCCGGCCTGGCCAGGATTCTGGGGGAGCCGCCCGGAGCGCGGTGAATCGGGGCGGGGAGAGGGGCGGGGAAGGCGCGCGAAAGCCCCAGCAGAGACCGGCAGCGGCGGGCGGCCCGCGTGGGCTACTGCTGGGGGCTGCGTTCGGGCGAGGAGGGGAGATTCTGTCTCAGAGGCCTCGGGCTGCACGTTCTTCCGGGCCGCGCATTTGCAGCCCACAGCAGGCCCCAGCCGGCCCCTCTGGAGTTGGGCCACTGCTTCTGCAGGCCCAGCAGGCCCCTGGGGGCGGCCGGAGGCCACTAACTGGCTTCTCCAGCTCAGCATTCTTCTCTCATTTGCTGGGTACCCCACTCTCTTCTCTACCCCTTTGAACCATCTTTACCCTCATTCCTCAGGGAACGTTTAACGAGTTGAATGTTTACCATGTAGTCACTCTATATGGAAATCATAATTCAATTTTGTAAACATCAGACTTTGACAAAACAAATGATGATGTTCTTAAGGAAAGCAGAGAGACACAGTGTGAAATCGCTGCTCTCAGATCAGCACACGGGAGAGGCCAGCAGTCAGGAGGGGGCTCACCGAGTTTGTCTGCACTCGCTCCCTCCGCAGCCGCCCTCTCCAGCTGGAAGAAGTCGTAATCGAACCTGCTCAGGTCCTCACTGCCCCACTCCGAAGGAAACCCCACGTACAGGTAGGTGCTGTTGGATCCCAAAATCAGGCGGTCCTGGGGAGGAGACGGTGGGCTCAGGAGGGGTTCGAGGCCAAGGAGGGTGAGGTGAACCTCCCCAGTGAGAAGGATCTGAGGAATGTCCTCCCCTCAGGAATCCCCCAGACAGGGAGAGACGCAGACAGGAGGGAGGTGGCCTCTGGCTCCTGCGTTCACCTTCATTGCACACATTGAGGGCGTGACTCCCTTGGCCCTGGGGTTCTGTGGGGACCACCCAGAGCCAGGCCCTCCCTCCACGCTTTCCAGGCTGGTCTGGGTGAGTGCAGCAATGGCTGCAGGGGACACCAGGACCTAACTCAGACTACAGGCTACAGACGGCCTTTTCCGAGGCGTGATGCCCAAGCTAAGCCCTCCTGGGCGGTAAGTCTTGGTGAGGCAGAGACGGCTGCTGAACAACCAAAAGAAGGGCAGTGTGGCCAGGGACAGGAGGCCGAGGGAGGTCACTGAG